>NC_000021.9:8986604-9196087 GCF_000001405.40 Homo sapiens | reverse complement strand
GATCCTGTTTTCAGAGCCTGATATTAATGATTCGGGAAACTCATTAAATGTAGTTAAGCATCTGATTTGAAAATCATGAGGGGGATTTTTGGTCAGATATGCATAGGAAATCTGTCACTAGACATATGTCCCTGCCACCCATGTCACAACCTTTATGTCTACTCTTGAATTGAGGTTTTGCTACTTTTTATTTTTGAGGTTTAAGAATTATTCATTTAGGTATCTGGGTGCAGCGCACCAGCATGGCACATGTGTACATATGTAACTAATCTGCACAATGTGCACATGTACCCTAAAACTTAAAGTATAATAATAAAAATAAAATAAAATAAAATAAAAAAGAATTATTCATTTAACTGACGGAAAATTGTGTTTCTCTTGTTAGAATAGAGCCCAATTTATCTTTTCTATTTTTCATGGAGACATGAAAGGATGTGAATTTGGAATCAGAGAAACCTGAGTTCCACCATGCTTTCTTCCTCTTGCAATCCATGAAATCCACAGTGGGTTAGTGGATATTACAAAACCTCTGGTCCCACCTCATTAAGATGGAAAAAAATTATACTAATTGAAAGAATGAATGTGATAATGAGAAGAAATGGCATCAATAAAGTTTCTGGAACACAGTAAGTTCTAACAAATGCTAGTTCTTTTCTTTCATTATTCAAAATCCAAGTAGAAGCCAGTTGGTAATTCCAAGATAATAGTATGAAGACAAAAAAAAAGTTTGTTAACTAACCTTTAACCATTGAGGCCTTATCTTACAGGAAGCAAAATTAACAAATATTTTCTCCCTTCTACAAATGTACACCCTCTGAGAAAGAGAGATAGTGTTCCAATCAAGACGATGACAGTATTCTGTGCACACATAGGAAGGGAAGAAGAATAAGAGAGAACCTTTAAAAAGACAATTTTAGATAGGCATCCTATTTTTACCGGCAATAACATTTTTTAGAACTTACGGCATACAATACAGACCTTAAATGGACTCAGTGCTGAGAAATTTTTAAAAGGCTGCTTTATTTTCTTCTATGGTAAATCTAGGAACCAATAAAATAGCTTTGATAATTCACTCATTACATTCTTTCCTAACTAAACTATTTACATTATAAACTTTGTTGATATGCTGTGCTTTTGCATTAATAATTCTCATGTGTCTCGTTTGTGAATACATGAAAACTAGTTGTAAAATAAGGAAAATGTAATTTTGAAACATCTTCAAACACAGTTGCATAATTTAACAAATGTTTATAAATTTTCGTCCTTACTCTAAAACCATAGACATCCTAAAAGTGATTGAAGGTAAAATGATTTTTTAAAGAACTGGATTTCTCACCATGAGTTATTTTATCTCCATACAAACTGTGGTAGTGTTATACAATGGTTAAGAAGAAATTACTTAAAAGTGAGAATAAAGATACAGCTTATTAACACTTCGTTTTGTGGATGAGACCTGAAAAATTAAACTTTTCTTCTAGGGACAAGTTGTAGTTGTGTATATAGAGTGTGAATAGATACTGTCCATATTTTACTGTCATTATTTAAACAGAAACATGTAATTTGCACTTCAAAAACCTACTACAAATTAGCTGTGTCATTTGAAAGTGTCAAAATTATCTCTTTAATGATCAGATAGGCTTTTTGCTCATTGTAATGAGATGTTCCTATAAACCAAATTTGAAAGACAAAGACAGAGTTTGGAGTCTTTAATTCTTGGTAAAATCAGTAGCTCTATTTAGGGCTATATTTGCAAAATACTATTTCTACTCAAGCATATTTTTATTTACAAGGCACTTCACAAATGTTGACCACAAAGATGCTTCTACCTAGCAGAAATAATTATAGTTACTTATAGTTGTCTAGGAATATCTTAAACATGGGGTATTAAAATTACTTTCAAGAACAAGAAGAAATGTTATACCAGGCATTTTTGCAACTAGTGCTCTATTTCAGTGCAATATTTGTGGCAATTAAAAAACATAAGTGGCTTGTATATACAGCTAAGATATCAAAGGAAAAATATGCAAAGGCATGATTATTTTATAAATGTGCCACATATGTGACTTGAGGTACAAAACCTCTAAGTTTAAAATTGTATTTTTAAAAAAGAAATCAAAACAGACAAGTGGGCAATGAGTTATGGATACTATTATAGGGTACCCTGATAAACTAGTAAGAAGAAGACTTTTGGTACTGAAAATTCCAATTAACCACATGCCTCCATTAAGGCCATGATCACTGCCAATTTTTACTCGCAAAGGCTGGAGCTAGAGTTATGTGGAATTCCATATGTATCTAAACCATAGATTTATCAATTATCACTTAAACACAACTTGGAGGACACTATCCAGAATTTGTAGGGCTTGGCCATATTCTAGAGAAACATACACTGGAACAGGCAGTTGGATTTTAAATTCAGTCTTAAATCTCTTGAAAATAATGCATTTATTTTCTCAGAGATGAGATATTGTCTAACTCTCTTGACTTATTTTAGATTTGATATTATACAGTTCGAACACCATAGAGATTTACTAATCTAAATGAACACATACCAAATTAGTCTTTGCTCCAGTCTCAAAATCTGAGATTAATTCTGGCTGCTGAAGAAATTTTCCAGGGTTAGGAGTATGCTTCAACGCTGGTGACTGGTACTACTTTCTGGTAAACTATAGGTGACTTGTGCCCTTTCACTGCCTAAACTCACTTTGTAGAACACCATTAAATGAAAATCATCACCAGTAATTTGGGAGGCTAAGGCGGGCAGATCATTTGAGGTCAGGAGTTTGAGACCAGCCTGGCCAACATGATGAAACCCCGTCTCTACTGAAAATACAAAAATTTATCCAGGCATGACGGGGTGCACCTGGAATCCCAGCTACTTGGGAGGCTGAGGCAGGAAAATCTCCTGAACCTAGGATGTGAAGGTTGCAGTGAACAGAGATGTTGCCATTGCACTCCAGCCTGGGCAACAGAGCGAGACTTCATCTCCAAAAAAAGGAAAAAAAGAGAGAGAGAGAGAGAAAGAAAATTATCAGTGTTCAGTGACTCTTTTTTTTCATGCTGATAAACTATTACACAGAAAAAGAAATGTATCCATTATGGACAATTAAAAGGGCTATACAATCTCTCTCATTGTATGATTCTGTTTTTTCTTTTTCTTTTTTCCTTTTTTTTAAGACAGGATCTCACTCTGTCACCCAGGCTGGAATTCAGTGGCTCTATCTTGGCTCACTGCAACCTCAGCCTCCCAAGTTCAAGCTATTCTCCTGCCTTAGCCTCCTGAGTAGCTAGGACTAAAGGCATTCACCACCACGCCCAGCTAATTTGTGTATTTTTTTAATACATGTGGGGTTTTGCCATGTTGTCCAGGCTGGTCTTGAACTCCTGACCTCAAATGATCCTCCCCCCTTGGCATCCCTAAGTGTTGGCATTAGAGGCATAAGCCACCAGGCTTGGCCTGATTCTGTTTTTTAACTCAATTCCTATTACTTCTGTTTTAATTTTACAAAGCCATAGGTTTTTAATCTGGGAAACCTTTGAGAAAGCACCCAGATAAATTTATAAATAGAAAAATAAATTCAGATACATAGAATTAAGTTTATGATCTAACTAGTCGGTGGCAACTAAAAAATTTTCAAGTTCCATAAACTGAAGTGAAAGGATCACTTTCCTGAAAATATTACAAAGGCTTGATAATTACCTGGATTGTACTAAAACCTACACAATCTAGTATATTCTATAGCAGCCATTCATAAAGACAGCTTCACTTACCATGTAGAATTTATACGTACACTAAATTTAAGGAATGCGTTAGTTGGTATTGGAGTAGGATAATAACTCACAGCAGAACTGATTTGCATGAATGGCTATTAAACTATCGTCGATGTAGAAATTAAACGTTAAGCTATTCAGCCCCAGATGTGTGAGAGACAGAGAAAATCTTCAAAAGAGTTCAGCTATCAAATCCCTTCCTCAATAGCTCTTTGAGTCTCAAGACAGTTTCAACCACACACAGCCTCAGAGTCTTATGGTCCAAACAACATTTGACTGCACCTCTAAAGTAAGCAAACATTTGAAAAGAAACAATCAAAGATCTATGTCTGTAGTTATGGTCAAGGAGGTCCACCTACTGGTGGGTGAGCATGGCAAGGGTAGGGACTAAGCCAAATGATGGGTTTATCAAAACAGAAACAAGAGAAGCCAATGGAAGCAGAGTCCAGTTTATAACAGGAGCCCAGGCACTTGATGTGGGAACCCTATTTGTCTCATTTAGCAGCTAGAGTTTTAACGTCCTATGAGGCAGAGCTAATGTCCTTCATTATTATTTTTTTGGAATTGACTGCATAGTTTAGAACTATGCCTTGAATTTAATATCTATGTGTTGAATAAATGAATTAATAATGATGAAAATCTGTCCACAGGTTATATGCAGTACTGAAGAGCAACTTCAGCTATTGAGGTATCTATCAGAAGTCTTACTCTCTAAAAAGCCTCTGGTTAATTACTGATATAGGTTGCTGACAATTTCATTCTCACAATGTAGGGGAAGCAGGAATGTTATCTGGCCTCTTGGCTCCTCTTCCTTTGCCTTCCACAGATCTCTCTGCTGGTTCACAGAGGAACACTTTCGTGGCTCTCAGTTCATTTTGCAATTCTGGTAGAATTTCATTCCATCCTCAATGGTAACTAGCTTGTCCTTCACCCAACGCTTATTTATGGAGGGACAGATAGCAAGAAGAAATCGCACTCTGGATTACAAAGTGGGAAGACGCACCCCCTTGGCCAGAATGCCTGCCTCCTATGTTCATGATGGATATTTCTAATTGATCTTGGCACTCTTTTCCACTGAGCCCATGCCCCAAATTGGCCCTGAGTTAGGGAGAGGGCTCTAGAGTGGGAAAGGTGTACCCAAAACTTCCCTAATCTGACTATCAAGCCTAAAAAATTAAACTTTCAATTCAACATCCCTTGTTTCTCCAACTTGGAGTGCCTGATGGTGTGGGAAGCCCCTACTCATACAAATTCATAGTTGAAGATTGTTGGTAATTTTGCCCAACCCCTTCTTTTTTTTGTTATACTTTAAGTTCTAGGGTACATGTGCACAACGTGCAGGTTTGTTTCAGATGTATACATGTGACATGTTGGTGTGCTGCACCCATTAACTCGTCATTTACATTAGGTATATATCCTAATGCTTTCCCTCCCCTAGCCCCTCACCCCACAACAGGCCCCAGTGTGTGCTGTTCCTCTTCCTGTGTCCATGTGTTCTCATTGTTTAATTCCCACCTATGAGTGAGAACATGCGGTGTTTTTTTGTCCTTGTGATAGTTTGCTGAGAATGATGGTTTCCAGCTTCATCCATGTCCCTACAAAGGACATGAACTCATCATTTTTATGGCTGCATAGTATTCCATGGTGTTTATGTGCCACATTTTCTTAATCCAGTCTATCATTGTTGGATATTTGTGTTGGTTCCAAGTCTTTGCTATTGTCAGTAGTGCCTCAATAAACTCTTTCTTTCTTTGCCTAGTTACACCTCAATGCAACCTCCTGGCAGGCCAGCCTTAAGCCCAGCAGTCCCACCATGCATCTAAGCTGCATTCTCATCAGACCCAACTTCAATTATAAACAACTGAGATGATGCCAGAGGCCAGAATCCCTGAGAACCCAATTTGCTGTCATCACCATGGCTGAAACAAGGCGCTTGGCATCTAGAAAAGCTGATCTGTAGGAAATTTCCAATAGAGTTCAATTTTTCTAAGTTTAAAGTGTACAATATCATCAAGGTCAGACACTCGAGATAAAATTAGGCTTGCGTTTAAATATAACAAAAATATTTGAAGAATAGTAAGAGTGGTGACTACTTTTACACAGGAATGTTTTAAATAAATTGTTTTTTTCTGGTGCCTTTTAAATTTTGTGATTTGTCAATGAGATGCTGATATATTTTTAATGAAGCATGCCTTGTAAAATAATAAGTGAATGAAAAATACACAGTAATATTCACATCAACAAAGCTAGAAGAAGACTGCATGTCTCAAGAGTCTCCATCATCTACCCAGTGGCCACTTGACCAAATTAAGATCCAAATACCAAAATGAAAAGTAATTAAAATTTGTGTTGTATGCCTTATAAGACCAAACCTATAAAATGAGGGGAAACTTCACAATTACTTGTAATTTGCTGTGTGGAATTGTAACAGATGGATTATAAAGATGATTCCATGATAAACATCTAAATGTGGTTACTACCTTCTGTGCTTTCTTGGTTCATATTTTTATTATTTTTTCTTTATAAACAGATAATTCATTCTTATCTATGGTAATGCAAACTTTTCAGATGTATTGAATATGTCATAGTTTTTTTCTATTGTAGGCATCTCTAAAAAAGATATAGAAAACAAACAGAGCAAAGTCTGGTGTTGGAAAGGAGAGAGAAATAAAGCTTGTAAAGGAATGAAAATTAGAGCTTTCTGGAGATAAAAATTCTTAGAAGATACAAAAGCTAGTTACTGAATTAGATGAAGGTTCTTTTTCAGTTTTTCCCGTTGTTCACCTCTTAGAAGGCACATATTCACAACAGAAAAGAAAGAAAGGGTTAAAAAGAAAATACCTCAGTGTAGTGAGACTGTAATTTCATGAGGGCATTACTGAAGACTCACTTTTTCCAGCATCACTCAGCATGGTATTATGCATGTGTGTAATGTAAAGGAAAGTGAATACGCATTCTTGGATGTGTGATCAAATCTCAATTCCAGAATATAATCAGAAGCTGATTCATTATCCTCTTGAGATTTAACAATCTTTCCATCAGGAATTAAAATTCAGAAGAGGGTAAATGTATCTAATCTTTTGAAAGTTAAAAATTAGAGGGTGGAGCCAAGATGGCCGAATAGGAACAGCCCCAGTCTACAGCTCCCAGCGTGAGTGATGCAGAAGACGGGTGATTTCTGCATTTCCAACTGAGGTACCAGGTTCATCTCACTGGGGAGTGCTGGACAGTGGGTGCAGCGCACCATGCATGAGCCATAGCAGGGCAAGGCATCACCTCACCTGGGAAGCACAATGGGTCAGGGAATTCCCTTTCCTAGTCAAAGAAAGGGGTGACAGATGGCACCTGGAAAATCAGGTCACTCCCACCCTAATATTGCGCTTTTCCAACAGGCTTATCAAATGGCACACCAGGAGATTATATCCAGCACCTGGCTTGGAGGGTCCTACACCCCCGGAGCCTTGCTGTTTGCTAGCACAGCAGTCTGAGATCAAACTGCAAGGTAACAGTTGGGCTGGGGGAGGGGCGCCCGCCATTGCTCGGGCTTGAGTAAGTAAACAAAGCAGCCAGGAAGTTCGAACTGGGTGGAGCCCACCACAGCTCAAGGAGGACAGCCTGCCTCTGTAGGCTCCACCTCGGGGGGCAGGGCACAGACCAACAAAAGACAGCAATAACCTCTGCAGACTTAAATGTCCCTGTCTGACAGCTTTGAAGAGAATAGTGGTTCTCCCAGCACGCAGCTTGAGATCTGAGAACGGGCAGACAACCCCCACCTAGTGGGTCCCTGAACCCCGAGTAGCCTAACAGGGAGGCACCCCCCAGTAGGCACAGACTGACACCTCACATGGCCGGGTACCCCTCTGAGACAAAACCTCCAGAGGAACGATCAGGCAGCAGCATTTGCAGTTCACCAATATCCACTGTTCTGCAGCCACCACTGCTGATACCCCCCAGGCAAATAGTGTCTGGAGGAGACCTCCAGTAAACTCCAACAGACCTGCAGCTGAGGATCCTGACTGTTAGAAGGAAAACTAACAAACAGAAAGGACATCCACACCAAAACCCCATCTGTATGTCACCATCATCAAGGACCAAAGGTAGATAAAACCACAAAGATGGGGAAAAAAAGAGCAGAAAAACTGGAAACTCTAAAAATCAGAGTGCCTATCCTCCTCCAAAGGAATGCAACTCCTCATCAGCAATGGAACAAAGCTGGACGGAGAATGACTTTGACGAGTTGAGAGAGGAAGACTTCAGAAGATCAAAGTACTCCGAGCTAAAGGAGGAAGTTCGAACCAATGGCAAAGAAGTTAAAAACTTTGAAAAAAAAATTAGACGAATGGATAACTAGAATAACCAATGTGGAGAAGTCCTTAAAGGACCTGATGGAGCTGAAAACCATGGCACGAGAACTACACGACAAATGCATAAGCCTCAGTAACCGATGTGATCAACGGGAAGAAAGGGTATCAGCGATGGAAGATGAAATGAATGAAATGAAGCATGAAGAGAAGTTTAGAGAAAAAAGAATAAAAAGAAATGAACAAAGCCTCCAAGAAATATGGGACTATGTCAATAGAACAAATCTACGTCTATTTGGTTTACCTGAATGTGACGGGGAGAATGGAACCAAGTTGGAAAACACTCTGCAGGATATTATCCAGGAGAACTTCCCCAATCTAGCAAGGCAGGCCAACATTCACATTCAGGAAATACAGAGAATGCCACAAAGATACTCCTCGAGAAGAGCAATTCCAAGACACATAATTGTCAGATTCACCAAAGTTGAAATGAAAGAAAAGATTTTAAAGGCAGCCAGAGAGAAAGGTCGGGTTACCCACAAAAGGAAGCCCATCAGACTAACTGCTGATCTCTCTGCAGAAACTCTACAAGCCAGAAGAGAGTAGGGGCCAATATTCAACATTCTTAAAGGAAAGAATTTTCAACCCAGAATTTCATATCCAGCCAAACTAACCTTCATAAGTGAGGGAGAAATAATATGCTCCACAGACAAGCAAATGCTGAGAGATTTTGTCACCACCAGGCCTGCCCTAAAAGATCTCCTGAAGGAAGCACTAAACATGGAAAGGAACAACTGGTACCAGCCACTGTAAAACCATGCCAAATTGTAAAGACCATCAAGGCTAGGAAGAAACTGCATAAACTAACGAGGAAAATAACCAGCTAACGTCATAATGACAGGATCAAGTTCACACATAACAATACTAACCTTAAATGTAAATGGGTTAAATGCTCCAATTAAAAGGTGCAGACTGGCAAATTGGATAAAGAGTCAAGACCCATCAGTGTGCTGTATCCAGGAAACCCATCTCACGTGCAGAGACACACATAGGCTCAAAATAAAGGGATGGAGGAAGATCTACCAAGCAAATGGAAAACAAAAAAAGGCAGGGGTTGCAATCCTAGTCTCGGATAAAACAGACTTTAAACCAACAAAGATCAAAAGAGACAAAGAAGGCCATTACATAATGGTAAAGGGATCAATTCAACAAGAACTAACTATCCTAAATATATATGCACACAATACAGAAGCACCCAGATTCATAAAGCAAGTCCTTAGTGACCTACAAAGTGATTTAGACTCCCACACAATAATAATGGGAGACTTTAACACCCCACTGTCAACATTAGACAGATCAACGAGACAGAAAGTTAACAAGGATATACAGGAATTGAACTCAGCTCTGCACTAAGCAGACCTAATAGACATCTACAGAACTCTGTACCCCAAATCAACAGAATATGTATTCTTTTCAGCACCACACCACACCTATTCCAAAATTGAGCACATAGTTGGAAGTAAAGCACTCCTTAGCAAATGTAAAAGAACAGAAAGTATAACAAACTGTCTCTCGGAACACAGTGCAATCAAACTACAACTCAGGATTTAAAAACTCACTCAAGACCACTCAACTACATGGAAACTGAACAACCTGCTCCTGAATGACTACTGGGTACATAAGGAAATGAAGGCAGAAATAAAGATGTTATTTGAAACCAACAAGAACAAAGACACAACATACCAGTATCTCTGGGACACATTCAAAGCAGTGTGTGGAGGGAAATTTATAGCACTAAATGCCCACAAGAGAAAGCATGAAAGAACTAAAATTGACATCCTAACATCACAATTAAAAGAACTAGAGAAGCAAGAACAAACACATTCAAAAGATAACAGAAGGCAAGAAGTAACTTAGATCAGAGCAGAACTGAAGGAAATAGAGACACAAAAAACCCTTCAAAAAATCAATGAATCCAGGAGCTGGTTTTTTGAAAAGATCAACAAAATTGATAGACCACTAGCAAGACTAATAAAGAAGAAAAGAGAGAAGAATCAAATAGATGCAATAAAAATTGACAAAGGGGATATCACCACCAATCCCACAGAAATACACACTACCATCAGAGAATACTATAAACACCTCTACACAAATAAACTAGAAAATCTAGAAGAAATGGATAAATTCCTCGACACATACATCCTCCCAAGACTAAACCAGGAAGTAGAATCTCTGAATAGACCAATAACAGGCTCTGAAATTGAGGCAATAATTAATAGCTTACCAACCAAAAAAAGTCCAGGACCAGATGGATTCACAGCCAAATTCTACCAGTGGCACAAGGAGGAGCTGGTACCATTCCTTCTGAAACTTTTCCAATCAATAGAAAAAGAGGGAATCCTCCCTAACTCATTTTATGAGGCCAGTATCATCCTGATACCAAAGCCTGGCAGAGACAAAAAAAAAAAGAGAATTTTAGACCAATATCCTTGATGAACAGTGATGCAAAAATCCTCAATAAAATACTGGCAAACAGAATCCTACAACACATCAAAAAGCTTATCCACCATGATCAAGCGGGTTTCATCCCTGGGATGAAAGGCTGGTTCAACATATGAAAATCAGTAAACGTAATCCAGCATATAAACAGGACCAAAGACAAAAACCACATGATTATCTCAATAGATGCACAAAAGGCCTTTGACAAAATTCAGCAAATCTTCATGCTAAAAACTGTCAATAAATTAGGGATTGATAGGACGTATCTCAAAATAATAAGAGCTATCTATGACAAACCCACAGCCAATATCATACTGAATGGCAAAAACTGGAAGCATTCCCTTTGAAAACTGGCACAAAACAGGGATGCCCTCTCTCACCACTCCTATTCAACATAGTGTTGGAAGTTCTGGCCAGGGCAATCAGGAAGGAGAAGGAAATAAAGGGCATTCAATTAGGAAAAGAGGAAGTCAAATTGTCCCTGTTTTCAGATGACATGATTGTGAATGTGGAAAACCCCATCGTCTCAGCCCAAAATCTCGTTAAGCTGATAAGCAACTTCAGCAAAGTCTCAGGATACAAAATCAATGTGCAAAAATCACAAGCATTCTTATACCCCAATAACAGACAAACAGAGAGCCAAATCATGAGTGAACTCCCATTAACAATTGCTTCAAAGAGAATAAAATACCTAGGAATACCACTTACAAGGGATGTGAAGGACCTCTTCAAGGAGAACTGCAAATCACTGCTCAATGAAATAAAAAAGGATACAAACAAATGGAAGAACATTCCATGCTCATGGGTAGGAAGAATCAATATCGTGAAAATGGCCATACTGCCCAAGGTAATTTAAAGATTCAATGCCATCTCCATCAAACTACCAAAGACTTTCTTAACAGAATTGGAAAAAAATTACTTTAAAGTTCATATGGAACCAAAAAAGAGCCTGCATTGCCAAGTCAATCCTAAGGCAAAAGAACAAAGCTGGAGGCATCATGCTACCTGACTTCAAACTATACTACAAGGCTACAGTAACCAAAACAGCATGGTATTAGTACCAAAACAGAGATATAGACCAATGGAACAGGACAGAGCCCTCAGAAATAATGCCGCATATCTACAACTATCTGATCTTTGACAAACCTGACAAAAACAAGAAATAGGGAAAGGATTCCCTATTTAATAAATGGTACTGGGAAAACTGGCTAGCCATATGTAGAAAGTTGAAACTGGATCCCTTCCTTACACCTTATACAAAAATTAATTCAAGATGGATTAAAGACTTACATGTTAGACCTAAAACCATAAAAACCCTAGAAGAAAACCTAGGCAATACCATTCAGGACATAGGCATGGGCAAGGACTCCATGTCTAAAACACCAAAAGCAATGGCAACAAAAGACAAAATTGACAAATGGGATCTAATTAAACTAAGGAGCTTCTGCACAGCAAAAGAAACTACCATCAGAGTGAATAGACATCCTACAGTATGGGAGAAAAGTTTTGCAACCTACTCATCTGACAAATGGCTAATATCCAGAATCTACAATGAACTCAAACAAATTCACAAGAAGAAAACAAACAACCCCATCAAAATGTGGGCAAAGGAAATGAACAGACACTTCTCAAAAGAAGACATTTATGCAGCCAAAAGACACATGAAAAAATGCTCATCATCACTGGCCATCAGAGAAATGCAAATCAAAACCACAATGAGATACCATCTCACACCAGTTAGAATGGCGATCATAAAAAAGTCAGGAAACAACAGGTGCTGGAGAGGATGTGGAGAAATAGGAACATTTTATACTGTTGATGGGACTGTAAACTAGTTCAACCATTGTGGAAGTCAGTGTGGTGATTCCTCAGGGATCTAGAACTAGAAATACCATTTGACCCAGCCATCCCATTACTGGGTATATACCCAAAGGATTATAAATCATGCTGCTCTAAAGACACATGCACACGTATGTTTATTGTGGCAGTATTCACAATAGCAAAGACTTGGAACCAACCCAAATGTCCAACAATGATAGACTGGATTAAGAAAATGTGACACATATACACCATGGAATACCATGCAGCCATAAAAAATGATGAGTTCATGTCCTTTGTAGGGACATGGATGAAGCTGGAAACCATCATTCTCAGCAAACTATCACAAGGACAAAAAATCAAACACCACATGTTCTCACTCATAGGTGGGAATTGAACAATGAGGAAACATGGATACAGGAAGGGGAACATCACACACCGGGGACTGTTGTGGGGTGGGTGGAGGGGGTAGGGATAGCATTAGGAGATATACCTAATGTTAAATGAGGAGTTAATGGGTGCAGCACACCAACATGGCACATGTGTACATATGTAGCAAACCTGCACGTTGTGCACATGTACCCTAAAACTTAAAGTATAATAAAAAAAATTAACAGGAGCCTTTTATACAGATAAATTTGATTTGCATCATGATCAGCACTAAAGAGCATCACAGATTTAAACCATATTTACACAGTTAAAACAATGTAACCAAATATGCAATATATTATGTAACATTGTACAAGATGCTTTTCAAACGTGCTAACTGACCTTTAAAACAATTTTACATAAAATAATATTTTTAGTAAGAGAAAAGACAGACATGTGGTTAGGGCAAAATATTTCTGTTCAAATTACAAAATCCTGAATGACAAATCAAAGGATAGAAAAAAATTATATTGTACCTGGAATTTGAAGTCTTCAAATTTATTTAGATATATGTATCTATATGTATTAATGGAGACATATTAGTTTAGAACAGTTATATTTTGAAGATGTCATTCTTTAAAAACTTATTAATATCTACAGGATTGCTGCAGATATTTTAATTTTAAACAAATATTTTTCACTAATGTGACCAGTATTTATGTCCTATTTTATTAAACAGACATTTCAAGATTCTTTTAGAGTTAATTTTTAAAAATTAAGTATCATAAATATTTCTGAAGTACTACCTTAAAAAAAAAACCCTTTCCTGGCTTTTCATATAGTAAAACATTTTCATAATGACTAAAAATGTAAAAATAAATTAACAACCATAATCAAATTAGAATTCTACTTTTTATATCAGATGAAATACTATATAAAATGTCCAGAAAATCTAGTGTTAATGAGGCTGTGCAGCCTGGACATTTGATGTCTCCTCTGTGGGAATGTGAACTAACCCAACCATTCTGAATAATTATTGGCTCTGTGTGTTAACAGTCTAGAGTCCTGAAACAAGGATCTTAATTCTAAAATAAAATCCTATTCTAAGAATATACCAAGGGTTGATAATCAAGGAAGTTTCAAAGTTATAGAGAAGAACCTTAATCCTAGCATTATATATGTAATCACCCATATAAACCAGATAGTGTTGAATGAAACTGCAGAAAAACAAAGAGGCTACAGAATATGTTTCTCTTTGTGTACAACTGTAAATGTACATATCTATCCATGTAAAATTTTACATCTCAGGAGGATAGGTACCAACATGTTAACATGCTATATCTATAAGATAAGAAATTTTACTTCCCTACAATTTCATACACACACACACACACACACACACACACACACTCTCAAACACACATACACACACACCGAGGTTATATACACACACAAATATATATATAAACATACATGTTTATATAGGTACACACACACATACATATACACAGATGGTCAACAACTGATAATGGTTCAATTTATGATTTTTTTTACTTTATGATGAAGCAAAAGTGATAGCTTTGAATAGAATATAACCATTCTGCTTTTCACTTTCAGTACAATATTCAACAAATTACATAAAATATCCAATACTTTATTATAAAGCAGGTTTTGTATTCAACGATTTTGCCCAATTGTCAGCTGATGTAAGTGTTCTGAGCACATTAAAGGTATGCCAGGCTAAGCTGTGATATTCAGTAAGTTAGATATTAAATACATTTTTAACTTACTGTATTTTCAATTTATAATCAGCTTATCAAGACTTAACCCCATTGTACATTGAAAAGCATTTGTATTGCATTAAACATGTTATATAATATTTTTAATTGAAATTACTGGCAACTTTTGAAAAAATATAATGAAATAATGTGCTTTGCTATTGGTTAAAATGTTTTTGGGCAGGGTCAGTGGCTTACACCTGTAATCCCAGCACTTTGGTAGGCTGAGGTGGGCAGATCACTTGAGGTCAGGAGTTTGAGACCAGCCTGGCAAACAGGGTGAAACCCCATCTCTACTAAAAATACAAAAATTATCTGAGTGTGGTGGCATGTGCCTGTAATCCCAGCTACTAGGGAGGCTGAGGTGTGAGAATTGCTTGAACTAGGCAAGCAGAGGTTGCAGTGAGCCAAGATCATGCCATTGCACTCCAGCCTGGGCAACAGAGTAAGGTTCTGTCAAAAATAAAAAAGAAAGAAAGAAAAGAAAAAAATGTTTTTAGCTTCAAGTAACAGAATAGTCAACTAATTGAAGAAAAAAACAAGGAGCAACTTTGACCAAATCGCACAACAAATAGATGGTATCAATGCTTAGTTAATTCAACATGATCCACTTCTTTGTGATTATCTTATCTTTCTACCTATGTTTTCAAGATGGCTATGGCATTCCCAGCCTTACAACTTCATGTGACAAAATTCAATGGCAGGAAATAATAAGTGACGGCATTTTGGAACTTTAAGGAAAAACTTTAAGGATTGGAAAACAGGGATACCATATGTCCAGTAACATGGGATAGCCGCTCCTAATTAAGGATTGCTGTATGTCCTGAATGACTTTCTAATGTAATGAAGGTGAATAACCTGCTTTGTTTAATTATACAATCCCAAATGTAACTGCCTAAGTGCCAAGTACTTTTGCATGGTTTTAATATGCCATGAATTTTGCAAGAATGAAACTACTATGTATATGAGAAAAGATGGTAGATTTTTTCATTTAGATACTCATTTCAGAGTCTCAATAGGAAAAATAGAAAACACACCAACTAAGATAATTTAACTTGGGTTTATTTCCAAAGAGACTACTTACGAAAATGTCAGGGGAGAAGGGTGAAGGAATCACAGAAATCACACCCCACAATAACTCTGGTTTAGCAGTGGCAGGCAGAGTTCTGGGGAGTAAACTGCCCTGATCACAGAAGGAAACACTAATTTTCTTTTTTTTTTTTTTTTTTTTTTTTGAGACGGAGTCTCGTTCTGTCGCCCAGGCGGGACTGCGGACTGCAGTGGCGCAATCTCGGCTCACTGCAAGCTCCGCTTCCCGGGTTCACGCCATTCTCCTGCCTCAGCCTCCTGAGTAGCTGGGACTACAGGCGCCCGCCACCGCGCCCGGCTAATTTTTTTTGTATTTTTAGTAGAGACGGGGTTTCACCTTGTTAGCCAGGATGGTCTCGATCTCCTGACCTCATGATCCACCCGCCTCGGCCTCCCAAAGTGCTGGGATTACAGGCGTGAGCCACCGCGCCCGGCCCACTAATTTTCTTATGAAAAAGATTGGTCCAGGAGACCTAGCAGAGAGGGAGTTTAGGCAATAACCCCCAATCCCATTTCCTCCTTCCCTTTAATCTCATGAACATGCATAGAAGGCAATGAACAAGGGAACCGATGGAGATATTCAATATGGACCATTCCACTTGGACAAAAGCCAGTAAACAGGGGAGTATAACAGGGGACAAGGGCCAAACAGAAAGTATCTATTACATTTACCAATGCAGTTCAATCATGTCAACAATAGAAATGGCAGTTTTGGCATTTGGTTATTCAATGAAACTATATTTGTAACTTTTTATTTACAATGTTTCAAGGTATGGGCGAAGATATGAAAATTTCATTATGTTCTATTGTATTTGATATGTAAATGTTCTGGCACAATTATATACATTTTGGATTATATATTGACAGTAAATTATTTCTCCTTTGTTAGCTTCAGCATAACATTAATATTTTCAACAACTTGAATGCATACATTGTGTTCTCACTAATAATTTAGAATAGCGAAGGGGTCTTTGAAGAATTTCTTATGAAGTAGAGGCATTGGGTCAGACAGAGCCGAAAACTATTGGCTTAGATTAATCACTATTTATCCTAGGGCTGAAGAGGGCCAATTGAAGACACAAATGTCCAATCCCTCTATAAACTTGGAGATCTATGAACCAGAGAAATAGAGACTGGTTCTTAAGGAGGTAATAAGTGTGCCTTCTATGGTTTATAATAATATGCATTGTCTTAACAATTGAATAATTAAAAGTTAATGCCCTCATAATATGCAAAATTTTTAATAAACACATTGGTCCCTGTGTTCAAGTAGTTGGTAATCAAATTAGTGAAGTATGGTAAGTCTTTTGAAGAGCATTAAACAGCAGAAAATGTAAGAAATTTGTCTCTATAATAGTGTGGGCCTTCTGTGTTTCCTAAGGGCACATTCATATGATCTAATAACTGAGCAGAGAGAAGCCTAAAGGATATTTTATGGTTTCATTTTTTTGTTTTTGCCAATTAACATACATTTCTAGATTAAAAGTCAACTATCTTTTCCTTGGGAGTCAACTATAGGAGAAGATAGTGAAGAGGCAAGGAAAATTACAGCAGCTCAACAGCTTTACCCTGGAAATATCTGTATTGTGTACCGCTATAGCCTACCTTTATCAGTCAGATAACAATGTCAAAGAGGCAAGCTTGGCACCATTGTTCTTAGTGAATCTTTGCTGCCAGCCTCTTATCCTAAGTGCTCTCCAAAGACCCATTTAATGGACCTTTCTGAAATTGTGCTCAGGATCAATATGAGGCTCACTGATACAGCAGCTTTGGAACTCACCATTTGCTTATTTATTAAACCTGGGATATTTGCCCGACTTCTATCATCTGAAATCCTCTCCATGACTTTCAAAATTATCAACATTGGTTCCAACATCATTCCTAGAAAACATTTCAGTGGAGTATATTTATCTGACATTTGACTGTATTTATAGCAGTAAGAATATATGATGATTCCTCCTAAAATAATCCCACAATTACCCATTTTGTGTCACCTTTGAGGGTCTTATCCTTAATATCAGAGATCTGTTCTATACATTTGAGTCTTAGAAATAATTACTAGCTTCTCTCTGAATTTAACTGAAGTTCCTTACTTTTATTCAGCCTGTTACCCAAATTACATAATGTATTGAAGGCTAAAAACTGTCCAAATTTCTGATTACCTTTAGTTAAAAATGGGAATATGAGTTTTTCTTTTTCTAACTTGGCAAAGATTATGTTTTTTTCATGAAGAAATACAGACATATTTAAACACTCAGGATCTGAGAATTTGAAATACATGAAACTTAGCAGGTGGTCTTTAAGTAGTTTTCATTTCTAAATTTTAGTACATAGCATTGAATGTTACAGAAGAAAAGACAATGAGGGATTACTCATAAACATTGCCTTTATGATATCCTTCCAAATAAAACCAAGTGTCCCTGTGCTTGGACTCATAAAGCAGAAATGCTTACCTTGCTTTTATGTCACTAACAAACAATTGTGCCTAGTCATTGAATTCTAATGCATTTAAGCCATCTTGAGAGTAGAGCCCCTAGGGAAAACTACAAATGGAAAATTCATTGATTTTTGATTTTGCTTTCCTATGGATCAAATTTAATACTTTCTTGTAAATCTCTCCCTTTGCAGATCATATGTGATAAATAGTTATCCAACTTTCTAGATGTCCACCCAGAGCTGCTTCCATATGAAGAGGTGGAAACGGATTCTGTGCATGATACTGGTTAGGATTGGGAACTGTTTTTTTTAAAGGAGATTTTTAAAATTTGTTTTCCTTGTACACATAGCCATAATATTGTGTTGCTAACTGCCCTCTGGGAACAAAGTCATGTCAATCACAAATATATTGCCTAAAGTGGGAGGCTTATTACTCTGCTGTGAATTCCGTCTCCTATTATGTTTTAAAGATGCTACAAACTTGAGACATTACTATGTAGATGACATTCCCAGCAAATCCCCAAACAACACTTAATGAGATTTCAAATACCAGGATCATGCAACAGTAAAAGATATAAGGAAATAAAGAAAAGCACAGTATATTTGTAGAAGGCATTAAAACACAAATTTTATAATTATGAATGCATATAATAAGGAACAAGTTTTATTCTAAATAGTAATTAAATCAGAACTATGATATAGGGAATAAAAGTGAATATTAAACCATTGTACCGACAATAACAGAGCCCTTTTTCTGCTGTGTGATGGAATTTAGTGTTTACTAAGGAAGAAAAAAAATGCAAGATATCTTAAATTTGGTACTTTCCAACAAATTTAAGAAATGTGTACACACTTGAGGAGACTTAAGAAGTCTCTGACTAAAACACTAGAAAAGAAAAGCAGCGAAAAGCCAAATAACTATTACTCAACAATAACAACATTTGTTACTATTATATTAATATTAAACACACTATTAAACAACAACATTTCAGTTACTCACTGAGCCCAAAGTCATTTTTCATGAACCATTCACAACACTGATAACCTATTGAAAAATGATTGAAAACAAAAAAGCTTATTGCTTTCCAAGTCCTTTTAAAGCCTTCTCTTGTGTCATTTCATATAATCCTTATAACAAATCTATGGAGTATATACTGACTTTACCTCTGTACAGAAAATAAAACTGAGTCATATTCAGAATAAGTTGCAAAGTTCCCCAGATAATCAGTGTCATAGGTGAAATTTGATGTCACAGTGTACTCAAGTGTAATTTAGGGAAGCAGTACAAATGACGGTTGAAAGCACAGGTTCTGGGGTAAACAGCCTGAAGTCAAAATCTAGTTCATAGCCTCAGTGGCTGTGTGATCTTGGGAAATTTCCCTTAACTCTCTGTGTCTTGGTTTTATAGTTTCATCCATTTTTGCCTCTCATATGAGCTGGTGAGCATTACACTAGTTTATGCTTCTAGGACACTGAAAACAGTACCTGGCTCTTGATAAATATTAACAATTTTGTTTCATTTTCTTCACCTTGAGTATTTCATGGCCAGATGGAAATCAATGTCAATATGAAAAAATGTTCATAATTCAGCAGGAAGAAATACAAAACCATATAAACAACGTTGTTTTACTGGCAAGTGAATTGGGAAGCTATGTTAAATTGAGAAGGGGAAGGGAAACCCCCTAAGAGCATCGATTAATCAATGACCGAAAGCTGATGAGACTTGTCTGGAATTTTTTTTTTGGAGACTCTGATACTTAAAATTTTGACAAAATAAGGAGATGAACTGAGTAGTGTGGAACAGACATTTTGTGAAGTCAGCAGAGAAAGGAGAGACAAATATGGTAAGGGGAAAATGGTATGAAGTAATAATATCTATGAAGTGCTTTCTAAAGTATAACACATGTAAGTTGTGTTAAATGTAAACTCTCATGATTATATCATTACTGTCTGACTGATACAACTATATCCACCTCAGTTAGCCACATAAGATCAATTTTCCTATACCTTAGAGAATACCAGTAACCTCCAGTTCAGAAACAGCATAAATATCTATCCACAGCTGAGCAGACACATACAGCTAGCTACCAGATGAAATGGGCTATATCTTCAAATACTATTGTTTTCTGTTTTTTAATTGTGGCAAAACACACTCAACAATTTGCATCTTAACCACTGTTAATTATACAATTCGGTGTCATTAAATGTATTCACAATGTTGTGCAAGCATCACCACCACCCATCTCCATAATTCTTTTTGTCTTTTAAAATTGAAATCCTGTACCCATTAAAAGTGACTCCCCATTCCCCACCCCCCCAGGGCAACTACAGCTTTACTTTGTCTTGATGAATCATACAATATCAAATGTAATTTTTAAGATATTTAAAATCTTTTGTCTGGAAGCAAAGTGGAAGTTAATATCAATGGCTATGCCTTCAGTGAGTTCTCAGACCACATTACAATGTAGTTAACTATTTATCTTTTATTACATTCTAGACCTATCATTTCGTTCTGGCACAAAAATATCTTCTTTGTAGATTATGGCATTTACCTCTATCTCCACACCATTTTGGTCTCTCATCCACAGATCATCAGCCTCTTGCTTAGTCTTCCATTTAATGACAATTTCTATTTAGTATACAACAGTCCTTCCCCCTGCAATGCCATTTCTTCACTCTTTAAAGCTCTGAGTCTGGCTACTGGTCTCTGTTATGTACTCATCCCTAGAGCCAAGTCTTCAAATATTTCTCAGAACTTCTTCACATCTAAAAATCTAGGATTAATTTATTGCTCTCTGATTATATTCTTCTGGTATTTCAAGTATCGTGTATAACTTCTTCATCTGCCCTTGCTTTTCTTCTACATCAAGATGTCAAGTTCATGGACTTCCCAATTAATCATTTTAAAAATGTATTTCAAGCCTTTATGAGTCACTAAAATATACATATGTTCTCAGGAATTATGGCCCTACAATTTGTATGTGAGAATAGTTCCTGTGTCAGGCATTATGGACATAAGAGGAAATAAATTCTAGTCCCTGCCTACAAGGAGCCAATTCCCAGCCTAAGACAGATTGCAAGCCAATAATATGCAGACTTGTAATTCTAAGGAAACTGATTGGGATATACCTAATTCGAGCTGGGAATATCAGAAGAAAAACTTTTTGAAAGTCATGAGACATGAGCTGTGCCTAAAAGAGTAAAAAATAGAGAGAGAAATAAGAAGAAAAAATTAAGGAATGAGATGGGTATAATAGTAGAAAAAGGAAATCTCTTTAGATAAAACAGGGTATGAGAGTATATAGGAGGCTTATTAACTCAGTGTGGTTGGGGAAAACAGGTTCAAAGGAGAAATAGGGGAGAAAGTTACAAAGGGAATCAAACGTGTTAGTAGTTGAGGGAAAAGCAAATATTGAATACGACCCATAGATCTTGGATAACCCAGTGTTTGGTAGTAGCTTACATAAAAAGTTGTGACAAAATAACCAGAGATATGCAGAGAAAATAATAACTGAGAGTTATATTTCCTCTCAGTAGAAACCTTAAAAAAAAAATGTAATCACACACTGATCTTTTAACTGACCTCCACTTATCTGGCTGCCTGGATTGGCATACATATTCCTCTGCCTGAAAAATTGCTCAATACTTTTGAAAGGTTGTTTCTCACTGTTACACCCAGGCATTTCTGCTAACACCAGCTGAGTTGTAAGGGGCCCTCCAGGAGACCTAGGTTGTTCTCCTTATCACATACGTTATTTTCATTTATCAATTTACCCAGAACATCTAATGAAATATTATGGACACCAATAACATGAATACAAATATAGCTATAGACCCTAAAAAGTAAATTGATGTCTCTTGAAAGACTGTCATGTCTTAGATGCTAAATTTGGAGTATGTGTTTGTAATAAATAAATAGCTTGCTTTAATAATTCTGATTTATGAATGTAATATAGGAGAGCAGCTTTTATTTCGCCCTTAATCTTAAAAAACAATTAGCTGGGTGTGGTGGTGGGCACCTGTAGTCCCAGCTACTCAGGAGGCTGAAGCAGGAGGATGGTGTGCACCTGGGAGGCGGAGCTTGCAGTAAGCCAAAATTGTGCCACTGCACTCCAGCCTGAGTGACAGTGTGAGACTCTGTCTCAAAAAAAAAAAAAAAAAAAGATCATACATGGAGTAAATGATGATTTAGCATAAAACACAACTTTAGCCTAAAATACAGATCATAGGGCTCAAACTTTGTTATTTTATGGGATTATATTAATCAGTTAATATTCAAAATTTACCATTTCAAAAGAAGAAATATTGGTCAGGGAAAATTGCCATTGCTTATACAGAAGAATGGAGGCATCTTTTTGACAACAACAATTCTAGTGATCTTCCTCATCACTGGTTCCAAAACCAAGCCCATGGAAGACCTGCATAGGGATAATGTGGAGAACATGCAAGAGAAATACACATCACCAGCTCCTCAACTCAGAGCTCCAAGGGAATGGCCAAGGAAGCTGTATTGTCCAAAGAAATTTGAGACTGTTTTGACTTACAATAAATCCTGCTCAACCATGTGTATGTATACACACACACACAGCCACACACACAGACGGTGTTGTCAGTGAAGCCTCTAACAATGCATCTTGACTGGACAGATTTGACAATTAAAATGGCTGGAAGAAAATAGGCTTCATAAGTGTCACTTACTATTCACATTACACATTAAAAGGACATCTCCTAAATTAAATCTTGTCTATGATAAAAAGGCAGAAAATCATGACCCAAGGCTCATTTATAACTGCAGAAATGTTCAAGATAGACCAAGGCTTGCTATGTTTAGGAACTGACAAGTACAGGTCTTTATAATCTACAATTTTGCCTCATTTGATACCAGGTGACTTTCATAATGCAGGCAATAGAGAATTGCAAGATTTGTCAGAGATTTCAGGTCTTTGGAAAGCTATGCTCTTTCACAAGAACAGCCATGGAAACAGGAAGAAAGTCAATTCCCACTTAAGGTAATCAGAATTTACAAATATTCCTCTCTTCATTGAAATCTCAATAGGCACTTCAATATTATATTTAATTAATTCTTTTGTTACAATCATGCATCACATAACAACATTTTGGTCAAGGATAGTGCACATGTATGACAGTGGTGCAATAAAATCATAACGCTGTACTTTTACTGTACCTCTTGTATGTTTAGACATGTATAGATACACTTACTGTATAGATATAAGTAAGTATAGATATACTTAACTGTTGTGTTACAATTGCCTACAGTATTCAGTACAATAACATGCTGCACAGGTTTGTAGCCTAGGAGGAATAGGCTATACCACCTAACCTAGATATGTAATCAGCTATAGCATCTAGGTTTGTGTAAGTAAACTCTGTGATGTTCACACAATAATAATATCGTCCAGCAATGCATTTCTCAGACACACCCCTGTCATTAAGTGACACATGACTGTATTAGTTAACACTATGGGAACTTCATGGGAAATGGACACTCTAGCTCCACCATAAATAGAAACTGTTTATGTCAAAAAACACATAAAAGCATAGTTGCAAGATTACATTTCCTTCCAGATATTTCATTTAGTATCTCCACAGATCACTAACTTCCTGAATAGCATTCTTGTGTCTCCACTGCCTCACATTTGATTTCAGGTCATTCCATCAATTGTCAAAGACGCATCCAACATTAACTTCCCAACTACTGGTTTGGATTGTGTCAACATTGTCATTCTGGGCCACAACAACACAAAAGGCTAACTCAGTGAGGTAACATAGACACTGATCAGTGAGATTTTGCTGACGGGTGGTACCATTTTTTACCAAGATCAAGGGTATTCATACCTTCAGGCATCTAGATAACATTGAAAAGGGCAGGTTCATAGATAAAAAGGGAAAGAGGACGGGTTTTTGCACTATACATGAGCTAACATGTCTCCTGTTTAACCTGAGTCTGAAGAGATTCAAAGTGCAGGTGCCATGAATGCCTCTTTAATAGCTCCATGTCGATTGATTTTCTGGGCTACACTTCCCAGCATTCAAATTGCTAAATGCATATAAACTACTAGTGAATATTTATTACCTGGATTTGTGCTTTTGAGTGATCTTATCTATAGTTATGTGCTTCAGTGATCCAACTTGGGGTGCACTCCAAACTTTGATAAATTAAAGACCCTGCTTATTCCTTGAGTAATGCTACACTGACAACTGATTTAGTGAATGCCACTGTGAAAATAATAAACCTCTTGGTGAATATATTTAGACATGTCTTGGAACCTGTACACATCTTAACCAGGGATGTTACTTGGTCTTTCTATATTCAGGAGTGTGTGGAGATAGAAAATCATACAGGATTGTAATTGTTGCCTGTGAGACTAACAGAAAATTCAAGCTAGTGAAGTATGCTTATGCATGGCACACTTCTCACCAGCAATTTTAGGAAGTTCTACCCACAACCCATATGTCTTTTGATATGTGGGTTACCTTGGAGAGAGAAAAAGAAACTCTGAACACAAGCATGAAATACTTTAGAATTTTATCTAGAGTTGGACTTGTCCGAAAGCTTTTGTATAAACTTGCTTGATGAGCAACTGTTGTCCACTGGTACCTTCACTGTACAATCCACACACAACAAAACTTCACAACTGGACACCTAAATTTGCACTTTGTTTGGTAAAGTTGAATGAAAAATGTTGTCTTTTAAGCTTATGCTCTCTTATGAAAGCTGTTATTAGATTAATTTTACTCCAAGATATGCCAGTTAGGAAATAACTTCCAATTTAATTTCACCAGCTCCCTGTGGGTGGACTAATTACTCACACATCACACTTACTCTGGTGGTGAAATGCCTCAAAAGAAGGTCTCCAGAGTGTTGCTCTACCTAGAAGGACAAGAATGAAGAGACATAAAAATCATTCATTAAGAAGGAAGAAGATTTTCCTTGCCTAGATTTGCACTTGTAGGATCCAATTAATTTTATCACTTAATATTTTGTCCTGGTGGGCATTCACTTTACAAATTTGTAAGGTCAGTAGAAATGGAAACTTTTAGAAATCAAACTGTAAATGTTCTGTAGACGTTGACAGAAATAGCTATTTGGAGCTGTGCTTTTGCCAACTAGACACTCTGAGAAAATCTGTGAGAGGATATTTTCAGGAAGTCATTGAACCCCCTAAAAATCAAGTTTATTGCTTTTACCATAAATATAAATAATTTATTTATTATCAACCACTTTCAATATTCCAATAAGTAACTTTATTGTTTATTTCATTGACATGATCTACATAGACATGCAATTTATCTTCTTTTGCGATACATTCAGAAAATTTGCTGCCTGGAAAAGCCATGTTTTGAAATTACCTCCTGTTTGATGATTTTTTTTTTATACTTTAAGTTTTAGGGCACATGTGCACAACGTGCAATTTAATTACATATGTATACATGTGCCATGTTGGTGTGCTGCACCCATTAACTTATCATTTAGCATTAGGTATATCTCCTAATACTATCCCTACCCCCTCTCCCCACCCCACAACAGGCCCTGGTGTGTGATGTTCCCCTTCCTGTGTGTATGTGTTCTCATTGTTCAATTCCCACCTATGAGTGAGAACATGCAGTGTTTCATTTCCACTTAAGTATCTATCTCTATTTGTCCTTTATTTTCACTTCCATCCTAGCTCTATCCCTTGTCTCCTTCATGTGTCTCAGGATAAGTGCCCTATAACATTTTATATTTCTGGAAACCCTTCAATATAAAGTTATTACATGTAAAAATAAAAAGTCTGTTTTAGCAAACTTTTTCTTCACAAATTATCTTTTCCTAGTTCCCTATTGGACAATTTTTGTAGGCTCCATATGCTATTAATTTATATTCACTTTTAGAAGAATTTTCATCAAAAGCAAAAGTCTTATGTAAATTGTTTATATGCTATTTGTACTTCTATGTATATATACACACATAGCCACATACATATATGTAACTCCGGAGGCCTGCCTGGACTGTTAAATAACTGTATTGAACAAAAGCAAGAAAAAGCTGTTCAAATTTCAAACAACAAGTTGAACTGAAGAGCTCACATCTTTGAATGAAATAGACACTAGTAGCCTTTAAAAATTAAACATTTCTACTGTTTTAAAAATTATAGCCATCATAGTATGAGGAAAAATGTAATAATCTTTTTTAATTCTTACCGTTTTATTAACCAGAGTCCTTATGCCCTGACTTCATTGGTACCCCTTTGAGATTAAACAGAACACTTAATTTAAAATTCTGATAAATAAATTAATTACATCATTTACTTGAGGTACTCTTTCACCTTTCAAGAAATATTTTGAGAATTCATTAGCTAAACATTGCTATAATGCAGGCTAGTAATAAATGGAAATAATGATTTCATTGTAAAGTTTAAACTAATGATGGTATGATCTGGAATTTTTGTTAACCTAGAAGACATAATTAGCTCTAGAGGTGAAATGAAAGACAAAATCACTTCACATATTAGTAAAAAACAAATAATATAACTTTATAAGCTACTGCTGTTCTTTTGCTATTAAGAACCAATGACATCTGTAATTAGGGAAGATTATGGAAAGGTTAAAGGTGAGAATACATGCAGTCTGTCGACAGGAAACCTAAACAGTTTAGGTTAAGGAAAGGTCTGCGAAAGTCATATTAATTAGCAGGTTCACAGGAAACTGACATTTATTGTATAAATTCCATGGTCAAATGTATTAGGGCTCCACACACACAACTGTGCACCATCTATGTTACCACACAGTGCTTACTTCTTTCAGTCTTTATTCATTTCTCTCCTAATGGTCTGTATGGTATTATTACATAGTTCTAAAAACCTTCCATGAGGCAGAAATTTCATTTAATGATATAGCTTTGAAAATAATGAAAAACAGTAGAAACTTTCTACTTTTTTATGAAACAGAATTGTTGAATTTTCAGTTTCATTTATTTAATGTTACAAGATGACAAACAAATTTCTTTAATTCCTTCTTGTTATTTTTGTCTAACATCAACCAAAGCCATTTCTTTCATTTGAAGGTGAAAACTGCTCATCAAAATCCAGTTTAAGCTGAGAAACAAAGAACTAAATTTTGCATGAGAGATTATACACTGCATAAGTATAAAACAGGACCAGAAACAATGGTGGATTCACAATTTTTAAAAAGACAAAAGCAGGTTATCATTAAATCAATTCTTACCAACACACCAATTTCACCTCTAGGCCAGAAAATTAGCTGCTTACCCACGGGAAAACAATGATTGAAGACAAAGTTCACCAGTGAAAGTTGGTTATTTATTTTCCATCCTTACATCAACTAAAATGATATCTACAGTTCCTCTTAACACTTTTCTTACTTTCAAATATGTGGGTATGCTTCATTAGCTGAGGCCATGTTCGATATGCACATCTGGCTACAAGGGAAACTGGGAATGTGAGCCCTGATCCTAATGTTTGTAGAGTATTTAGAAATTTGAGAATTCCCTCCAAATAAAGAGTTTTTTAAAACATTGTTAGACAAAAAGTTTGAATTACAAAATGTGGTAGTAGCTCAGGTCTAACTCAAATGCAGGGAAAAAAACTATTAACTCTAAAAAAAATTAAATACACATTTGATGGTAATGAGAAACAGAAAACAGGCAGAAATAGTAGAATATTCAACCACTGATGAAGTATTTGACCATTGAATAAAGAAAATTGCAATGATTTAAATTTGCATCAATGTAACTTCACACCTGATGACACTTCCAAGTCTGTGCAAAATTAGATGTCTAAGAGTAAAGCGGTGAGTTTTACTAGCTTGAGGAATAAGAGTACAGAGTTCCAGGCTGACAGAAAAGAAGAATTGGGAAATTTGAATGACATGGGAGGAAATCTCACACAACTGAAAGTCACAGAGGAGAATGTCACAGAGTAAAAATCTAAAATCAGCACTTAAACTTCATTCAGATATATGATGGCTGCTACATTTCACATTCATAAAAAGAGACTCCATAGAATCCAGCAGAAAACAACAGCTAAATTGCTAGTACAGAGCAGAGATTTCAACCATTGCATATAGCTCAGGAGTGAAAGTTTGGTGTTTGACTACAGAAAGAAGACTAATGTTAGAAAAGAGTCACTCTTCAAAGGAAAATAAAAGAGCCTATCTCTACAAAATATCATACACATAATCTAACATATAATTTAACCTGCCTAGACATAGAACCAGGAAAATATGACACATAACAAAAAAAGTAAACAATGGATTAAGACATTGAAATGGCCCACATGCTGGAATTAGAAGATGAGAAATTTAAAATAAGCTATTATAAGCATATTCAAGGATTTAAGGAATAGATGGTCATAAGAGAGAATATATGGAGAATCTCAACAGAGAAGTAAAAATGATAAAGGGATAATAGGACAAATTTTAGAACTGAGAGACAGAATATCTTATATAAAAGTGTCATTTTATGCACATACCAGTAAATTAAAGATGGCAGAAAAAACTATCAGTGCACTTAAAAACAGATCAAGAACAATTTCCCAATACAGCTAATACAAAGGAGAAAAATAATAAAAATATGACCAGTCTAGCACTAATATAATTGGACTCCTAGAAAGAGTAGAGAAGAAAATGAGACAGAAAAAGCTATTTGAAAAAGTAAAGACCAAAAGTTTTCCTAATTGTCAGCATATATCAACTTACAGGTTTAAGAAACTCAAAGAACAGAATAAAAATATACAGAACCAAATGTAGACATACCATAGTCAAAACACTGGGCAAAAAAAGAGTAAATCTTGAAAGTAGCTAAAGGGAGGGAGAAAATAATTTACATACGTGGAAACAAATAGGTCATCTACCTGTCATCAGAAATGACACTTTAAAAAGCAATGAAACTACATCTTCAAAATAAAAAAAAAACTGTCAGCTCCAAATTCTATAACTAGAAAAAGTAATTCTTGAGAAAATAAAGATTTATTCAGATAAAAGAAAGCTTCGAACAATTGTCATTAGCAGACCTAGATACAAGAAATGCAAACGGAAATTTTTTAGACTAAAGAAAGATAACAACAGATGGAAATTCTGACCTACAGGAAGTAAGGAGAAGCTCTAGGAATGGCATGTGCATAAACAGGAAAAACTAAGGCTTTTTTCTTTTAGTTTTATAACAAACAACTGATGGTTTAAATAAAAAATTAAGAGTACTATTGATAACGTATGTAGAGTAAAATATTCTAAATTAATAGCTCTGACAGGAGACTAAACGCAACAATTTTGCCACAACTTTTCTTTATGTTCCATGAAAACGTTGACTATTAACAGTAAGTGGACTGCGATAAGCCCAGGATGTTTATTACAATCCCTAGAGAACCACCACATTATATGAAGATATTCTTCTAAAATGCCAATAAAGGAATTAAAATGGAACGCTGAATATTGTTCAGTTAATATAAAAAGGCATGAAAGAAAGAACAGAGGAGCAAAAAATGATGGAACAAATAGAAGATAAGAGCAAAATAGGCTGGGCGCGGTGGCTCAGCCTGTAATCCCAGCACTTTGGGAGGCCGAGGCGAGTGGATCACGAGGTCAGGAGATCGAGACCATCCTGGCTAACACGGTGAAACCCCATCTCTACTAAAAATGCAAAAATTAGCCGGGCATGGTGGCGGGCACTTGTAGTCCCAGCTACTCCGGATGCTGAGGCAGGAAAATGGCATGAATCCGGGAGGCAGAGCTTGCAGTGAGGCGAGATCCCGCCACTGCACTCCAGCCTGGGCGACAGGGACAGACTCCGTCTCAAAAAAAAAAAAAAAAAGCAAAAATAGTAGGCTTAACTCCAACCTTATCAATAATTATTTCAAATGTAATTTAAATACTCCAAATAAAACACAGATTGTCCAACTATATAATAAAAGTACCTATAAGAGATGCATGCCAAATATTATGGTATAGATAAGTTGAGAGTTAAATAATTTCCAAGTATACCAAGGAAACAACAAGCACAAGAAATCTTATGTGGCTATATTAATATAAGAAAAAGTAGACCTCCAAACAAGCAATATTACAACAGAAAGCTATTTCATAATGATAAAATGTCAAGTAATTATGAAGACATAATGCTGTATTGCTGATAGAATAACTAAAGAAAGTTAAGGTAAAATAATTTTGACAACACCCTGACCTAATCGATATTGACCAAGAAAATAGAATATATGTTCTATTATGCTACACATGAAACATTTATCAATAGGCTATAGACCACAAAATATCTGTCAAGAAGTTTCAAAACACTGTAATCATAGAAAGTATACTTTCTGACCATAATGAAAATGAGTTGAAATGGGTGAAAACAAGCTACCCAGGAAAGTCTACACTATTGGAAGATTTAAATACACCTTAAAATGCCCTTTAGCTCAAGGAAGAAATCATAAGAAACACCTTAAAATACATTGAACTGAATACAAATAAAAATATACTATATCAAAATATGTGGGATAAGTTAAGCAGACCCAGAGTAAATTTTTTGTATAAATGCTTATTCTAAAAAAGAGAAGTTCAAAACAAGTGCACTAATTTTCTACCTTAAAAAGAAAATCTAAAACAAGAGAACAAATTAAGTCCAAAACAAGTAGAAGAAAGAAAATAAAACAGAAATTAGAAATCAATGAGACAGAAAACAGACACAGGAGAAAATTAACATGGCCAAAAGTTAGTTCTGTGAGAAAGAAAGAAAACGCAAATTATAAATATCAGGGATTAATGAGATTGTACAGTTGTAGACACAAGAGACATTAACAAGATAATAGAATATTGTGAAACATTTTATACTAATTTTCATTACTTGGATGAAAGGGTGAATTCCTTGAAAAGAAACTTATAAAAAATTTCACAAGATTAAATGGAATATATGAAGTAATTGACATTTATTAAAGTAATTAAATTGTCAAATACCTGCACATAAAAACATAAAACTAAAGAAATAAAAAAATAAGCAAACTCCACATCCAAAGAGTTTTGCTGGTGAATTCTTTCAAACGTTTTAAAAAAATAAAATTTTTAAATTATTTCAGAAGAAGGGGGGAATTCCAAACTTGTTTTATGAGTCAGAATCCTGATAGCAAAACTACAAAACCCAGGAATGTAAAATTGATTTCAACTTAAAGGGCTATCACCATTCTAATCTGTGATTCTAATTAATTTGGCTATCTTAGATACTTTATACAAGTGGAATCATACAGTTTGTCCTTCTGTGACTGATTTACTTTACGTAGCATTAATGTCCTCTAGGTTCATCCATGTTGCATATTGCCGGATTTTCTTGTTTTAAAGCTGAATAATATTCCGTTGTATGAATATACCACATTTTCTTTATCTATTCATCTGCCAATAAACATTAACCTTATTTCCACATTTTGATTAGTGTAAATAATGCTGCAATGAGCCTGAGAATCATCCCAATCTCAATTCTTTCAGATAAATAACCTGAAGTGAGATTGCTAGATCATATGGTAGTTCTACTTTCTTAATTTTTTTGAGGAACAACTGTACTGTTTTCCATAGAGGCTGCACAGTTTTACTTTCCCAGAAACACTGTACAAGTGTTCCAATTTCTCCCCATTGTTAACACTCGTTATCTTTTTCTTTTAATCAGACCATTCTAACAGGCTTGAGGCAATATCTCTTTGTGGTTTTGATTTGCATTTCCCTGATGATTAGTGATGCTGAGCATTTTTTTCATGTACCTGTTGGTAATTTGGATATTTTCTTTGGAGAAATATCTATTGCTGATTAAAAAAAAAAACTCTCAGCAAGCTAGAAAAAGAAATTTTTTAGAAGTGGTGGAAAGCATCCACAACAAAACATATAAACAATATTATATTTAATTGTGAAAGCGTAAATGTTTAAACCACATAGATTAGGACAAGAAAAGGATGTGTGTGTTCATCACCTCTATTCAACATTTTACTGGTGATCCTAGATTGAGTATAAATATTTAGGGGATAACTATTGTCACTGAAGCCCAAATCTTGGTCATCCTCAGGGAAAAAAAAAAAAGTTGATTAGGTTGTATATAATCTAATTCTACTTGCTAATTTAATTTCTCTAAAATTACAGCTTGTATCAACTCTAGAATTTATTGGGCACCTCCTAGGACATAAACACTGGAATTTGGTGAGAGACATCAAATAGGAAAGAACCTGGCTCTGACATAAATTCAACACACGGAGGGGTACACAAGTTATGAGACTGACCTGGCCTCTTCATCTCATAAAAGGGGTTCTTGTTGCTGGTAACACAGATTAAAACTATTTCAATTATATTCAAGGTAAAAAGATTAGCAATGATATGTAAGATGAAAAAATCACCCCGCAGGAAGACAAAAGTCTCACAAAAGGATATTTAAACTAGCCAACACTTTGAAATTCAGGCAGAGATCGTGCTTTCTGGGTGAACTAAAGTAGCAAGAACAAAGTAGAGGCTCCAATTCTAGGAAAAATGGGCCCTAATAAGGTTTACAATCCAGAAACTCAAGATATCCAGACAGAAGGATGCAGTCTCCGCTTTCAAGGCAGTAGCAGTACCTGGATTACTATGCCAATCCCCAACACAATCATAAACACAAATTTGATTGAGGAAGAAGCTTGCCCACCAGAAGATTTAGGTTATTACAAGGTAGAATGTGATAGAGAAAACGAGATTGGGACTGGAAACAAGAGGAGGTAGCCCCATGATTACAACTGGAATATATCTGTCAGAGATGGTGTGGAAATAAGACTGAAGAGAGAGCTCCTTAAACCCCACGTGCCTTACATCAGGACTAATCCTGGACACAGGCTGGAAAGCATAGCCTACAGGTGGTGAGGGAGGAGGAGTGGACTCAGCTGTGAGAAGGAGAAGGAAATATGGCTGAAAACCAGATACGGGTCTTGAAGTCACACAGAGGATTTGGGCCTTTGCTGCTGTCGGCCAGCAGCTGCCAGTAGTTCTCACACTTTGGCTGGCATCAAAATCACCTGGGGCAGTGGTGGGGAAGCGGGGGGAGTGTTGTAAAACCACAAGTGACCAGGCAAAAAACACCTGTATGTTTTCCAATTCAGTAAGTACAGAAATATTAATTGGAAAAAGGTGGACGTCAGACATTGATAGTGCTGCGGACTGCTCCAGGGACGTAAGCATGATCTTTAGAGAGGTGACTCTCATCAGTTGAGGGCAACCACTGGACAGAAAGAGGTCCAGACCAACCGTAAACAGAGACATCATACAAATACACTTTAGCAACCTCTCCAAATAACATGTCTCTTAGTGAAACTTAGGAGGTTGAAAGTTAAAAACATAAAATCCCGTGGCATTTATGTATCCTAGGGACTTACATTTGTCTGATTCTTCCAACTTGCCTTTGCTTGGTTAGAGTTTTGGGTAGACAAGAGGTGAATTTACATGTGCCATTGTGAGAACTTTGATACACTCATTTAGACATTGACCTACTATCTTGATGTTTGAAAGCTAAAACCCAAAGAAATTTGTCTTTTTACATAAAACAAATTCAGCCCTTACCTTCCTTGTCGATTACATCTTCCACTAGCAGTAATAAAAAAGTAACAATATGCATAAGTCAAAGTATCTTCTTAGATCCTCTGTAGTGTTTTATTATTTTGTTGTGTTAATTAAAGTAACTGTCTCAAAATTTCAAGGAATGCCTGAGAAGCAATTCGTGTTCAAAGGCTGCCCTCTTGCGACAATGTGTTGTATGTTTTACTGTAAAAGTAATCTTATTTTACCTTATAACCTCTACAATCCAATTCATAACAACATAAAAAGGAAATAAAACCTTACATAATTTTGAATTTTAAAAAGTACCTTGTTTATATGGCTCCTTTAGCTAATGAATAGTCAATTTGGTAAATATTCCAGTGAGTTGAAGGCTTGAATCCATCTCACTTAACTAGCTTGATGGATGTATTTCTAAACCTATACAACCCACTCCTCTGCTTTTAAAAAATCAAAGTTAGCTGTAGATTGAGATGTCAGTGACACAGTTTATAGAACATAACTTAGATTGTCATCTACATTACTGTAACTACAATTACCACCCTCAGATGGAAGAATCAGTTTTATCAGTGAACATCTCTAATTGAACGATAAATGGTGTATGTCTTCTGGCTTTTACAAGCTCTTGGTCTAACACAGGGGATATATGATGTAAAACTTACAAAGCAGGGTCACTCACGGTGGCTCATGCCTGTAATCCCAGCACTTTGGGAGGCCAAGGCGGGCGGATCACAGATTCAGGAGATCGAGATCATCCTGGCTAACACGGTGAAACCCCATCTCTACTAAAAATACAAAAATTAGCTGGGTGTGGTGGCACACGCCTGTAGTCCCAGCTACTCAGTAGGCTGAGGCAGGAGAATCACTTGAACCCAGGACGCGGAGGTTGCAGTGAGCAGAGATCGCACCACTGCACTCCAGCCTGGTGGCAGAACAAGACTCCATCTCAAAAGTAAATAAATAAATAAATAAATAATAAAATAGCAGTGACTATAATGTTTTGTGATGCTAAACTTTGGGAGCTTTTTTTTTCTTTCTTTTCCCAAGTCCCTTTCCCAGTTCCAGGAGCAGAGTTATTCTAAGCTCACTGATGTAAAGGAATAGAAAGAAAAGGTTTGGTGGAAAACCTAATAACCTGCTATCTTTCTGTCTTTTGTTTTTTAAAAGCTTGAGCATTTGGGAGAATTTGGAAAGATTGTGGAGTAAGTGCAAAGAAGGAATTTGCTAAAAAAAATTATATAGGGTAAAATGAGTTTTTTCCAGGTTAGAAAATATCCACTCCCTACCCTCCTACATTCCTTTCCCATGGTTAAGAAGAGGAAAAAACAAAGGCCTCTTGGTGAGCAGTGGTGACTTAGGCAATTTCTTAGAAATATTCTAGAAGACATAGTCATCTTTAAAAAAAAAAATAGCTACAAGGATATGTCTAAGCAGAAGGGACCATGGGCCAAATTACGTGTAGATTTTTGCATTCCAAATATGGTAAAGAAGAAGCAGGAAGCTGGGGGGCCTAAACAGGCCACACAGAAATGGACAAGGAAGAGGCCAGCAGCAGCTTGTGGGGACAAGATGTCAAGCCCCAAATTTTAAACCCACCAACCATCCTCCAAAGTCTGGCTCTGTTTAACAAGGCTGTGGTCTGACACTAGATGCCGCCTCAGTGACTAAAGCATAATTTCCCGTCTCCTGGGAGTGTTGACAGCTGACTCCTGGCAACAATACTCACAGCACAGTAAAGTTCCTTCATCCAAGTTCATGTCCCTTCTCAGGGCATCCCACATCCGAGAACTGCTTGGTACAGAAATATAATGGCCTGGTTTTCTTGCTCCAATTCGAGGTCATTAGGTAAACTCACCAAGATCCCTGTAGAGTGGACTGCAGCCATGATAGTGATTGCATTCTAGCCGACTTCCTGCTCCGCCCAATCCTATTGCTTTCACTCTTCCACAGGTGTTGGGAATATCATTTCAACCTCCTTGCATGCAAATCTCCAACTCGGAGTCGGCTTCCTAGGACACCTGACTGGTGATATCTCTATCATTATCACGGTACTTAGAGAGGAGCATCTTAAAATGATTGAAGGCTAACTGCCCTAACAGCACAGGCAGATGGTGGCTTAAAATAGAATTTAAGTGGACTTAAAAAAACATGAAAGAAGTTGACATTGCACGCTCATATGAGCTTATGGATCAAACCATGTGTATGATTTCTAAGATCCCTCGTGCAGTATATATTTGCACTGTTTATAAATGACATCCCTTTGAATTGAATTCAGTGCAATTCAAAACAGTAATTTGTGGGAAAAAGTAGATATGCAGATAGCCTGGACTCTAAAGAGGCAAACATCATTTGGAAAATAATAGTGAACCGGCTGGTCTATGAGGGAAGAAAACAGAGTGAATATAGACTATTAGTGAACAAGGATATTTTCCCATGTATATTCAAATTAAGGTGAACTTCTTTAGAGAATTGTGCCTTAGAAAGAAAAAGTATTTCCCTATATTTGAGTCCTCACAAGTTTTCCTACGATGAGTGCTTTTGTGATTATTTTGAATAACAAAGTAATATTTAAAGAAACTCTCTTACCCTGAATGTACTTTACATCAATTGATGTTGCATATAGAGAGCATCAGAATCAAGCCACAAGAAAAGGAGGAACATAACTTAGCAAAGACTTAGAGGATTAGTCCTAATAGTGTGAAATCAAAAGTTCAAGTGAGGGAATAAATGCAGCTTTTAATGATTACTTAAATGAAGTTTAACTCTAGCAGGATCTACAAGAAATTGGCAACCTTTGGCTTCAGTAACAGAAACTCAGGATATATGCCCTTCAGTGCTTTTGGATTCCGCATCATATTGAGAGCGACTCCTTTAAACAAGCAATAAGAAACTTCCTGTGACAACATAATAAATTCAAAAAGTTCTGTAACTCAGACAATTTAGATAGAAGTGAGGACTTTGGCCTAGACAGCCCTGTTCACTCTAAAGATGGATTAAACAAGGAAAAAGATATTGATATCAAAAATTCAATCAGGAATTTGATTAAAGCATTTCATTAAATGTGATAATTTCTTAGTATATTATCTTACATATGCAATATTCATGTGTAACAAATTAAATACAAGTAAACATTTGAGCATATTATCTGCAGCATAATTTACATATCAATTTACATATTCAGTTTTGCTCACATGAAAACTTCGATCTTCTCAATAAGAAAATTTGTGAAATCTTTAATTCCTCATCCCCAGGAATGTAAATAAATAAATATAAATATTGTAAGTCAGTGATTTTTTCCTAGGAAGACAGTAAAATTACTTTTCACGCCTTCTCATTGTAAACCTAAATAACAAACAGAGAAAGGTTCTCTAAAGGAAAAAGACACATCTTAGGGAGGAGGGCACTGCAATGGGAATATGCATGACAAAGCAAACTGTGTAGATTCAAATGGTAAAGGAAGACAAGGTCTTTAAAAGAAAAGTGATCAACCTGGAATTATGGGGGAGTAGAAAAAAATAAATAAAGGAAAAATGAACAGGCTTATATAATTGTTTTGTTATAGTTATCTTTGACTATAAAGATCAACAACAAGGTCGATGTCAGTTGAAGTTTGAGCAGGTGGTTGCTGGATAGATGTCCTCACAGAAGTGTATTTTGTGTAAGGTTGCTATGGCCTTTGTGCAAGGTTGTGGATTTTGTGACAGTTTGTATCAGGCCTAGAAGCATGAGAACCCTCTCTTCAAGGCCTTCTCTGAATCTATTTGTCCAGGTTTTTTCTTTTCTTTTTAAAGATTACTGACAGTTTTGATTCTGATAACTTTTATATCATGATCCCTAATTTCAAAAAAAAATTAAACGTGTAACTTTTTTATGATGTATTTGATAGGCTTGGATTTATGAATCACCTCTACTATCTATAGTGGTAGATATATCTGAGCCTACTTACACAGCACTTCCATCAGATTCTCTCTTCAGTGGAATTGGAAGAGGGGGGTTTTGGAGAAGGGAATGAAGGAATTGTGCTGCATCAGAGGTCCCCACCTAACAGCACAGGGACTTTTTCTGTGCTCTTGCCAGGCCGTTGTATTAGGCTGATACAAAAGTAATTTTGGTTTTGTCATTGAAAGTAATGAGACCATCTGACTTACAATGTCTATGCCATAACCAACTCCTAATAGCGTCCTAGGACAGCTTTGCCCTGACATACACTGTCCTGGAACCACGTCTGCTTTGTAACTCCTGAGGTAGCTGCCACCATGACCAATGACTTCTCATCTTTACTCTACATGCAGGTAACAGTTATAATTATATCTCTGTGTATTCACAGAACATCTAGTACATCTGGGACTTCTACAAAATTTCCCTAGCTGATTTTGGTGTTCTAGTGTCCTGGCAGCTCTAGCCATGAAGGGATGATGCTTTATCAGCATTTCTGTTGAGGTTTTTTCCTTTTTCTCACAAACTGATTCCACTTTTCCCACATAGGTTTGACAATTCATTTGAACTCATTTATTCTAAACCCATTATTTTTTGTCTATTATTTAATAGGGTGGGGGGCGAGGGATAAAAGATAACAAATAAGGTGCAGTGTACACTGTTCGGGTGATAGGTGCACCCAAATCTCACAAATAACCAGTAAAGAAGTTATTCATGGACTCGAACCAAATACCACCGTACCCCAATAACCTATGGGAAAAAAAATAAAAAAATACAATAAAAAAGAGTCAGAAAAAAAGAAAATAATCACTGTACTTACCATGACACTTAGAAATGGTGGCTAGCATTATTTGTGTCACCTAATATTATTATTTTTTCTTTATGCTACAAACTAGCTCTGCTATTACAATCACTACTATTTGAAGTGTTACTAAATTAAATTAAATTTATTGTATCCTTCAGGACTCAGAAATGGGGGTAAATGCTAAGACAATTTCAGAATATTAACACATATTAAAAGCTTATTATATGGGGAAAATGTGATTTTAAAAAAATAGAAATTGGTAGAGAAACAGTTTTTGGGTCTCTTTGATTTCCACACATTTTGCAAGTATGGACGCTGACTTTCTTGTTCCAAATGATTGTTTTCAAGCATGTTTGTATAGAAAACAGCCTTGGAATAGAAAACCAGTACCTCCTTCTGGAACAAAGGAAAAGTTTATTTACTGTCTAGTATAATGCAGATAATTTCTCCCTCTTGGGAAGGGTACAGCCAAGTGAACTTCCCATAATACAAGTTGAGGTTTCTTGAGCTTGGGTTTTTCTTCCACAGCGTAATGTGCAGGTGCCACTTGGCTCTCTTTGTGTTACCCTGGGAAAGCTGATGGCTGTAGGTGCATGTTTATTTTCGGGTTCTCTATTCTGTTTCATTGGTCTTTGTGTCTGTTTTCATATCGCTACCATGCTATTTTGTCTATTGTGGCCTTAGGGTATAGTATGAAGTCAAGTAATGTGATGTCTCCAGCTTTGTTCTTCTTGCTTAGGTTTCCTTTGGTTGTCTGGGCTCTTTAAAAATCCATATGAAATTTAGAATATTTTTTTTCTAATTCTGTGAAAAACGACATTGGTTGTTTCATAGGAATAGTGTTGAATGTGTAGATTGCTTTTGGCAGTATAGCCATTTTAACAATATTGATCTTTCTAATCCATGAGCATGGAATAGTTTTCCATTTGCTTTGTCATCTATGATTTCTTTCTGCAGTGTTTCGTAGTTCTCCTTTTAGATATCCTTTACCTCCTTGCTTAGACATATTCTTCTTTTCTTTTATTTTATTTTGGGGGTTGCTCTTGTAAACAGGATTGCACTCTTGAGTTACCTCTCAGTTTAAACATTTTTGGTGTACAGAAATGATACTTCTTTCTATATGTTAATTTTTTTTAATCCTCAAAGTTTGCTGAAGTTTTTTTTATCAGTTCTAGGAGCCTTTTGGCACAGTCTTTAGGGATTTCTAGGTGTAGAATCATATCATCAGTGAAGAGAGATAATTTGACTTCATTTCCTATTTGGATGCCTTTTATAGCTTTCTCTTGCCTGATTGCTCTGGCTAGGACTTGTTAAACAGGAGTGGTGAGAACAGGCATCCCTATTTTATTCCTGTTCATAAGGGGAATGTGTTGGGAGAAAAGCTGAGTGTTGGAAGAGAAGCTGAGGCAGGGCCATATGTTTCTCATTCACTTGATACACCGTTTCCTTTCAACCCCTAAATCCTCTCCACCTGTTTGTTTGAGCACCAACAAATAGCGTAGGCTCCCAGAGCTTGGGGACTTTGCAGGCTCCACACTCGTGATGGTCTCCTGGTCCCACTTTCTCTCTCAAACTGTCTTTTTCTCATTCCTTTGACTCTGCCGGACTTCATCACCCCCATGACCTAGTGTTGGGTCTGATCACCCCAACATTCCTGGCGCCCAACATGGGGTGACAAAGACCCGGTGAAGGAAGGCTGGAGCATGTGAAAGCAGAGGACACAACATCAAAAGACACCCGAGGACATACAAAGATGGGGAATGAAAATTAGTACTTAGAATTTGTTATCACTCTTTAGTACAGTAAAGCAGTTTTGCCCATGGTTTCCAGAACAAAGGACTATGAAGTTGGATGAATGGGAGAGAATTGGAAGAGATTTTTTAAAAGACATATAAAGATGGAGCAGAAATTCTAGTTTCTGTATGGTCAGTGTGGGCACTAATAAAGGCAGCCCTTGAGCCATTTCAAACAGATGATGAGGCAGACTCAGATGAGGAAGAGGAGGATGAGTGTAAAAAACTAACTTCAAATTCTGAGTGTGGGGAGCAGCTACCAGACGAGATTAAAGAAAAGAAAGAAAAACTTTTAAAAGTATGTTTTACTAGCCCGTTGGCTCCACCTGCTGAATTAAGTGAATGGCCACCTCCTCTCTCTCCTCTAAATGGGTGAGAAAATAAATTAGCTGAAAAACTTACTGCTCCTGTAGTTACAACATTAAAACCTGGAGCAATTGGTGGTGGTAGACAAAATTCTATTCAAAAAGCTAAAGCCAAGGGAGACCTTGAAGCATGGCAATTTCCCGTTACTATAATCCAGCAAGTAGGACAGAATATAGCTAATTAGGCTGCTTTCTCTTTTAAGTTACTAAAGAATTTAAGCAAGCCATTAGTCAATATGGACTGAACTCTCTTTTTGTGCAAACTTTATTTAAAAATATGGCTCTTGATAATAGATTACTACCATATAATTAGGATACTTTGACAAAACCTGTTCTCACTCCATCTCAGTACTTGCAGTTTAAAACTTGGTAGGCTGATGAAGCTCAAACTCAGGCAAAAGAAAACACACAAGTGCAGCCACCTGTGCCTGTTTTCTTTGATCAGTTAATATGAGTTGGCCCTAACTGGGGTTGATTAGAGAATCAAGCACTAATGGAAGATGTTGCCATTGTTCAGCTGTGCTTCATGTGCTTACATACATAGAAAAGGATAAATGTTACCGGGGAAAAGTATCCTTATTTCAGTTCTGTCTGACAAGGACCTAAAGAACCATATATTAATTTTATTGCTCAGCTCCAAGAGGCTGTGTATAAAGCCGCAAATGATCAAAACAGCTCAGGATGTTGTAATACAGCTTCTTGCGTACAATAATGCTAATGCAGAGTGTCAAACTGCTATTAGATCCCAGACAGAGAGGGCCCATTTAACTAAATATATTAAGGCTTGCGATGGCATTGGAGATAACTTACATAAGGTTATTCTTTTAGCTCAGGCTGTGGCTAGATTAAGAGTAAGAAAAAATATGCTTCATTTCTCAGGCTCTTGACTTAATTGTGGGCAAATTGGACACAAGAAAGGAATGTAGAAAGGAATTCAAAAGACGAAAACTACTACCATCAATCAACAGAAAAGTCCCAACGTACGTCCCTGGTGTAAGAAAGGCAATCACTGGGCAAGTCCGTGTCATTCTAAATTTAGCAAAGATGGACAACCTCTTTCAGGAAATAGGAAGAGGGACCCGCCTCAAGCCCCTCAACAAACTGAGGCATACCCAGCACAGCCACTGCCCTTACATATGTACAGCAATTGTCCCCCGCCTCAGCAAGCAGTGCTGCTGTAGACCTCTACAGCACAATTCCCATCTCCTTACTTCCTGGGGAGCCACCAAAGAAGGTCCCCACAGGAGTTAGGGCACCCTTACACTGAGGAACTGTTGGGAACAAGCCTCCCCAAATCCGGCCATAAACTGGCCCCAAAACTGGCCATAAACAAAATCTCTGCAGCACTGTGACATGTTCATGATGGCCATAACACCCAGGCTGGAAGGTTGTGGGTTTACTGGAATGAGAACAAGGAATACCTGGCCCGTCCAGGGTGGAAAACCACTTAAAGGCATTCTTAAGCCACAAACGATAGCATGAGTGATCTGTGCCTTAAGAATAAGGGATACTTTAAGTTAATCTAATATCTATAGAAACAATGCTAATGACTGGCTTGCTGTTAATAAATACGTGGGTAAATCTCTGTTCAGGGCTCTGCTCTGAAGGCTGTAAGACCCGCCCCCCCCCCCCCGATTTCCCACTTCACACCTCTATATTTCTGTGTGTGTGTCTTTAATTCCTCTAGTGCTGCTGGGTTAGGGTCTCTCCAACAGACCTGGTCTCAGCAAGTGGTGCCCATTCATGGGGGCTCAAATACAGGTCAAAGGATCGCTGGAGCAACGATTGGAGAATGTGGAACTAGCTGGAGGACACCCGAGTACTCTTAAAGCAATCCCCGTGGTGAGTAAGAAGGGGAGCTCGGAAGCATCAGGGTAGCAATAGGACAAGTGTGGGCTGTGGTTCGTTCTACCTTGGAACTTTTTCACACTGATGATGAGGAGGAAGGAGAGTATAACAAAGTAACAGTAGAGGTTACAGACCAGGTTTATTTGTCACCTAAAGCTAAAGCAGAAAAGGAGGGAGAGGTTCATCCCTATCCTTCTGCACACCCTCATTACTATTTTGAAGAAAACGACCCTCCAGATCTTTCTTTTCTGGAGGACACTGGGTGAAAAGTAGTTGCCCTGGTGACTGTTCGAGCAGCGCCTTGAGCGACTGCTCTTAGTTCTATTCAGGCAGGAATACAGCAAGCTAGACAAAAGTGGGATTTAGAGGCTTGGCAGTTCCCTGTTTGAATACACCCCCCAGATCAACAGGGAAATATTATAGCTACATTTGAGCCTTTTCCTTTTAAATTACTCAAAAAAATTAAACAAGCTATAAATCAGTATGGACCAGGTTCTCCTTTTGAAATGGGACTGTTAAAGAATGTTGCTGTTTCCAGTCGGATGATTCCTACTGACTGGGACACTTTCACTCTAGCTTGTCTAACTCCTGCTCAGTTCTTACAATTTAAAACTTAGTAGGCAGATGAAGCTTCCATTCAGGCTGCTCGCAATGCCTGGGCCCAACCTCAAATTAATATAACTGCAGACCAACTTTTGGGGGTTGGTGGCTGGGCTGGTTTACATGCACAAGTGGTCATGCAGGATGATGCCATAGAACAGCTTAGAGGAGTGTGCATTAGAGCTTGGAATAAATCACTTCATGTGGAGAACAATACCCTTCCTTTAGTGCTATAAAACAGGGACCAAGAGAACCATATGTGGATTTTATAGCTTGGTTACAGGAGTCTCTTAAAAAGATGATTGCAGATTTGGCTGCTTAGGATATAGTGTTGCAGTTATTGGTTTTGACAATGCTAATCCTTATTGCCAGGCTGCTCTGCGACCTATCAGAGGGAAAGCACATTTAGTTGATTATAACAAGGCCTGTGATGATATCAGAGATAATCTACATAAAGCTACTTTGTTGGCACAGGCGATGGCAGGACTGAGAGTGGATAAACGAAATACTCTATTTCCTGGAGCTTGTTTTAACTGTGGGAAGCATGGTCATACTAAAAAGAATGTAAAAAAAAAAAATCACCTAGTCAGGCCACCAGATAGGGGAAAAAACAAAACTGCTGATCCTGAAATATGTCCAAAATGTAAAAAAGGAAAACTTTGGGCTAATCAGTGTCACTCTAAGTTTGATAAAGAAGGGAACCCGATTTTGGAAAACTCCCTGAGAGGCCCATCCCAGGCCCTGTTCTAAACCAGGGCATTTCCATCTCAGGCCATTCCCTCACCCCCATACATTATCTTTCCCCACCACAGCCCATAGTGCTGCAGTAGATCTATGCTGCACAAAAGCTGTGAGCCTTCTGCCTGGGGCACCCCCGCAAAAGGTCCCAACAGGAGTCTGTGGACCGTTGCGAGCAGGGACAATGGGATTACTTTTAGGAAGGTCTAGTTTAAGTTTAAAAGGGGTACAAATACACACTGGAGTCATTGATTCAGATTACAATGAGGAAATTCAAATTGTGATATTTAGTTCTGTTCCCTGGAAAGCACAGCCAGGAGTGCGCATAGCACAGCTCCTGAGTGTGCCGTATGTGGGAATGGGAAAAAGTGAAATTAAATGAACTGGAGGATTTGGAAGCACAAATAAAAAAGGCAAGGCAGCTTATTGGGTAAATCAAATTACTGATAAACATCCTATCTGTGAAATAACTATCCATGGAAAGAACTTTAAAGGTTTGGTAGATACTATTTTTTTTTTTTTTTGGTAGGAGTGGACATTTCAATTATTTCTCTACAGCACTGGCCATCCATGTGGCCAATTCAGCCCACTCAATTTAACACAGTGGAAACTGCTAAAGCTCCAGAAGTGTATCAGAGTAGCTATACTTTGCATTGTGAAGGGCCCAATGGACAACCTGGGACTGTTCAACCAATTGCAACTTCTGTACCTATAAATTTATGGGGGAGATATTTATTATGACAATGGGGAGCACAAGTTCTAATTCCATAACAATTATACAGCCCTCAAAGTCAACATATGATGCACAAAATGGGGCATGTCCCTGGTATAGGAGTAGAAAAAAAATTGCAAGGTTTGAAAGAACTGCTTCAAACGGAAAGACAAAGTTCCTGCCAAAGATTAGGATACCATTTTTGATGGTGGCCATAGTTAAGCCTCCAGAACCTATACCTTTAAAATGGTTAACAGATAAGCCAATTTGGATAGAATAATGGCTGCTAAGCAAAGGGAAACTGGATGCTTTAGAGAAATTAGTTACTGAACAATTAGAAAATGGGCACATAGCTCCAACATTTTCCCCTTGGAATTCTCCAGTTTTCATAATTAAGAAAAAATCAGGTAAATGGAAAATGTTAACTGACTTAAGAGCCATCAATTCAGTTATACAACCTATGGAAATATAACAGCCAGGATTCCCTTCTCTACTATAATTCCAAAAAATTGGCCTTTAATAGTCACAGATTTAAAAGACTGTTTCTTTACTACCCTTTTAGCTGAGCAAGACTGTGAACGGTTTGCATTTACAATTCCTGCAGTAAACAACCTGCAGCCTGCTAAGCGTTTTCATTGTTTCACAGATGGGTCTAGTAATGGTAAAGGTTCTTATTCTGGATCAAAAGCTAAAGTTTTCCAGACACCCTATACTTCAGCTCAAAAGGCGGAGCTTGTAGCTGTAATTGAGGTGTTGACTGCTTTTGATATGCCTGTTAATGTGATTTCTGATTCTTCATACATGGGTCATTCCACACAGTTAATTGAAAATGCTCAGTTAAGATTTCATACAGATGAACAACTGATAATAAAAACAAAAAATGGGGAGAAACAGGGATTACGGGATAGCCCATACACAATTGAATCTTGCATTATTAACTTTCAAATTTTTGAGCCTGCCCAAAGGCCAGATGTTACCAGCAGCTGAACAGCATCTACAGAAACCAGCTGCAAAGACAGAAGCAGACCAACTGGTTTGGTGGAGAGATCCAATAACAAAAAGTTGGGAAATAGGTAAAATTATAACTTGGCATAGAGGTTATGCTTGTGTTTCTCCAGGACTGAATCAACAACTGATTTAGATACCATCAAGACACCTGAAATTTTATCATGAGCCAGATGCTGAGGAAGAGAGAAAAAGCACAATCATCATTGAAATTAGAGCTTCTGGCTGGGCGCGGTGGCTCACGCCTGTAATCCCAGCACTCTGGAAGGCCGAGGTGGGCGGATCACAAGGTCAGGAGATCGAGACCATCCTGGCTAACACGGCAAAACCCCGTCTCTACTAAAAATACAAAAAATTAGCTGGGTGAGGTGGCGGGCGCCTATAGTCCCAGCTACTCAGGAGGCTGAGGCAGGAGAATGGCATGAATCCAGGAGGCAAAACTTCAGGTTTTGCCAAGAATGACACTGTAAATGTAACAAAGCTTCTGTGCTTGTTAGTGAACACCAAATCAGCTACTCTCCTGTATTCGGAGATCAGGATGAAATGAAAAGAACAAGCAGGCCGGGCACGGTGGCTCATGCCTGTAATGTCAACACTTTGGGAGGCTTAGGTGTGCGGATCACCTGAGGTTGGGAGTTCGAGACCAGCCTGACCAACATGGAGAAACCCCGTCTCTACTAAAAATGCAAAATGAGCTGGGCGTGGTGGCACAAGCCTGTAATCCCAGCTTGGGAGGCTGAGGCAGGATAAGTGCTTAAACCTGAGATGCGGAGGTTGCGGTGAGGCAATATTGCACCATTGCACTCCAGCCTGGGCAACAAGAGTGAAACTCCATCTCAAAAAAATAAAAAAAGACCCCCAACCTTGTCTAGACTGTGGGGTTTCAGTTTCACCCCAGGGGGGTCCTGGTTGGGTTAGAACCCTGAATCTGGTTTGAGTTCGTATCCTAAAGAATAAAGGGAATAAAGGCTGTAGCCACTAAGCTACTCAATCTGGTCCGGTTCTGGCTTTTGTGTGTCTGTCTGTATTTTTGGTCTAAATATTTGGCCCAACAGAGGTTAAAGGCTTTGATGTTCTCAGCAAAAGCCTTGTGAGATCTCTAGTTTATCTGTGTGCTCAACTGGAACAAAGAGTCTCCATAAACTAGAAAAACCTAAAGAAAATGGCACGCGTGAAAAAATGAGAGCCAACTCCTGTTTGTTGTTCTGTCCACCTCCCTCTCTCACTCCTCCTTCTGCCTTTGCTGTGGTCCCATGGTGTTTCTGTCTTTCTGGGGACCTGAGATTCAGTGTAGGAGTGAAGTCCATGATTTTAAAGCCTTCATGTCTCTGCTTTTTAACTCTGCCTGCTTTGCTGAGCTCTTATAATGAGAAATAAACCATTCAGAACAGAAACAACAGGGCATCAGAAAACCAACTTCAGGCAGCGCTCCGGCAAGTACCTCCCTAGAGGGGAAGGGTCTACTAAAGGAGATTTAATCTTGAAAAGGCCAAAATGAGAAGCTCTAACCTTAAGCTTGCTAGGTTTTCTGGGACTCGAGCTGGCTATATATTATGGACCATTCTAGCCACACACATACACACACACACACACACATACACACACACATTTTTTTGAGACAGAGTCTTGCTCTGTTGCCCATGCTGGAGTGCAGTGGTGTGATCTTGGCTCACTGCAACCTCCACTTCCCAGGTTCGAGCAATTCTCCTGTCTCAGCCTCCTGAGTAGCTGCGATTACAGGTGTGCGCCACCATACCCGGCTAATTTTTGTGGTTTTAGTAGAGATGAAGTTTCACCATGTTGGCCAGGCTGGTCTCAAACTCCTGATCTCAAGTGATCCACCCGTCTTGGCCTCCCAAACTGCTGGGATTACAGGCATGAGCCGCTGTGCCCAGCCTATACATATATATATACTTTTTTTTTCCTTTTTCTTTTTGACACAGAGTCTTGCTCTGTTGCCCAGGATGGAGTATGGTGGTACAATCGCGGCTCACTGCAACCTCCGCCTCCCAGGTTTGAGCAATTATCCTTCCTCAGCCTCCTGAATAGCTGGGACTACAGGTGGACACTACCACACCCAGTTAATTTTTGTATATTCAGTAGAGATGGGGTTTTGTCACATTGGCCAGGCTGGTCTCAAACTCCTGGCCTCAAGTGATCCACCTGCCTCAGCCTCCGATAGTGTTGGGATTACACTCATGAGCCACTGCACCTGACCTCTAGTGCACACTTTAAACCTGATGGCCAAATTACATGAAAGAAAATTCAGAACTCAAATAGTTACTATTTTTAAAAACCCTAAAGTGAAAAAGTCTCAGTTCTTTTGCCTATCTTTTTTTTTTCCCTGCCTACTTTGAATCTGCTGATTTGTCTACTGGTGTTGAGATAAGACTTACTGTCTGTGGTGTTACTAATTCAAGGTCACTTGGCTGAAGAAAAACAAAAGAATGAAACAATTCTTTATTTTTTTCTCTTTTTGAGACAAGGTCTCACTCTAAGGTCTCACTCTGTTCCCCAGACTGGAGTGCAGTAGTGGGATCATAGCTCACTGTTATCTCAACCTCCCAGGCTCAAGCAATCCTCCTGCCTCATCCTCTCTAGTAGCTGGGACAATAGGCACGCACCACCATGCCTGGCAATTTTTTATCTTATTCTTAGTAGAGATTGGGTCTCACTATGTTGCCCAGGCTGGTCTCAAACTCCTGAGCTCAAGTGATCCTCTTGCCTCAGCCTCTCAAAGTGCTGGGATACAGGCATGAACCACTGTGCCCAGACAAAAGAGTTCTTTTATAAATACAAATAATTTAAAAAGTATTGATAAAATAAAAATAGAAAATAGAAATCTCTTCAGACTTGTCAGCATACATTTTTGACTGTGTTTTATATTTACATTTGCTAGATATTTTAAGGTGCTAGGGTTTGGCATGAAGGTTATAAAGCTATAAACACAGGAAAAAAGAATATTTGTTTATGTGATTTTTTAAATACATAAGACCAATTTAATATGGTTTGTTGAACAAAAATAATGGAATTTTCTGAGTTATTGGTAAAATACCCATGTATTTAACTTTGAAGTCCTCACTTACGTGAACACCTGATATTCACAGGCTATAACATGGTTAACAAGAAAATAACCTAGAAATGATGACTAGCTTTGTCTAATACCTCAGTTCTCACAAATACTCTAGATAAACTGTCAAAAATAAGTAAATGTAAATGGATAAATGTCTATACAAGACATCTTAATGTATTTTTGAAATTTTTTTGAGACAGTGTCTCTGTCTGTCACCCATGCTGAAGTGCAGTGGCATGATCACAACTCACTGCAACCTTGACCTTCTGCACTCAAGGGATCCTCCCACCTCAGCCTCCCATGTAGCTGTTAATTACAGGCATACACCACCATGGTCAGCTAACTTTTATTTTTTTTGTAGAGTCAGCATCTCACTAGTTTTCTCAGGCTGGTTTCATGATACTCCTGCCTAGGCCTCCTAAAGTGTTGGGATTACAGGTGTGAGCCACCATGCCCAGCCTATTTTTGAAATTTTAGTTATGTTAAATTAAATAATAGATACTCATTAAATATCTGGGTTATTTCCAATTTAAAACTTATGTTTTAGCCCAGGCACTGTGGCTCACGTCTGTAATCCCTGCACTTTGGGAGGCCAAGGCGGGTGGCTCACCCGAGGTCAGGAGCTCAAGACCAGCCTGATCAACATGGTGAAACCTCATCTCTACTAAAAAATACAAAAAATTAGCCAGGTGTGGTGGTGGGTTCCTGTAATCCCAGCTACTCGGGAGGCTGAGGCAGGAGAATTACTTGAACCTGGGGGGCGGAGATTGCAGTGAGCTGAGATCACACCACTGCACTCCAGCCTGGGCAACAAGAGCGAAAATCCATCTTAAAAAATATGTTTTAGGAACACATAATTCTAAATTATGAAATTATTCTCATATGTAAGATACTGCTATATGACAATTCCAGATTTCTTGCTTCCTAGGTTTTTTATTAAAATAAGGGTTACTAAGTGTTAATATCTTGCTAGATATGTGTGATTAAGACTACTAGATACAAGAGAAACAATTCTGTATGCAAAATGTATACCGGTTTTTGTTTCAGAGAAAGTAAATTCACTTAGAGATTTTTAAGGATTATTTTAAATTGAAGGAATAAAAAAGATAGATAAAACTACATGTGTATAAAAAGTTGGGAAAGATGAAAAAATTATACAAGGTTATTAAAAGTTTATGTAAATCTTACATCGAGGCCAAAACTGATTGAGATCAGATAGATTGTTTATAAAGTTTATTTAAATTAGCTATAATATTAAAAACAGTGATAAAAAACTAAAAATTTGGGTTAAAACAACAAGGTTTTCTTAATGTATTTATTTGCTCATAATAAGAGGTAATAAATATTGACTTTTAATCCTGAAATCTGTTACTATAAAAACTTTTCAGATTTGTATATCAGAAGTTCAACTTTTCCTGTACTTTCATGTTACACATGACTCACAGGTCACATCACTGTCTCCTGTTCCTTCTTGAGAAGGAATAAAAGGCTTGGGTTTCCTGCTTGGCTGGGATGATAACTCCTTCAGCTTTTTCATCAGGTCTAATTTTATACTCTTGGCTTTTAAATATGTCTTAATTACTTCATGTAACCAGGAAACTTTCTTGCTATCATTGTGAGCTATGGATCCCCACTGCTCTATGCTCTGGTTTTCCTGTTGACATTCCTTTGTAATATTATGCTCACTCATGACCCTGGACACACTCTTTCTATGTCTAATTAAATTCAAGTCTCCTTGTCATCGGAATTGACTTCCAAGTGATTTAAATTAGTTTCCCGTAAGAAGACACAGTTATGCCACAGGAGTTTTACCCTTTAAATGACTGGCCTGTAATAAAGATTTTAGGTTTTATCAAGATAATCCATGTGTTGCCTTTATTTTTTTTTAATTACTTGGGAAAACTGAGGGTTTTCAGTTATCACATCCATGTAACCTTCTACGTTGCTTTTGATGTCTTTTGGTTGTCATGCTAATTAAATGAATGACTGTTATTTAAAAATGACATGTGGCTGTGTGCAGCGGCTCATGTCTGTAATTCTGGCCCTTTGGGAAGCCAAGGTGGGTGGATCACTTGAGCCCAGGAGTTCAAGTCCAGCCTGGGCAAAATGGCAAAACCGCATCTCTACTGAAAATACAAAAGCTAGCTATGTGTCGTAACAAGTGCTCATAGTCCTGGCTACTTGGGATACTAAGGTGGAGGATCACCTGAGCCTGGGAGGTTGAGGCTGCAGTGAGCCATGATTTCACCACTGCACTCCAGCCTGGGCAACAGGGTGAGACCCTGTCTCAAAAAAATAATAAAATAAAAAACAATAAACTGTCATTCTGTTTTGGTCAAATGTTTTCAATTTTTTGACATCTTTGCTAAATCTTATTTGATAACATTGTATGGGAAGCATTGCCAAAAGATAAGTAACACTAAATCTTCTTTTTTTTTTCTCTGAGACAGAATCTTGCTTTGTCACCCAGGCTGGAGTGCAGTGGCGTGATCTAGGTCCATTGCAACCTCTGCCCCAAGGTTCAAGCGATTCTCCTGCCTCAACCTCCCAAGTAGCTGAGACTACAGACACATGCCACCACGCCCGGCTAATTTTGTATTTTTAGTAGAAACAAGATTTCTCCATGTTGGCCAGGCTGGTGTCAAACTCCTGACCTCTGATGATCTGTCCAACTTGGCCTCCCAAAGTGTTGGGATTACAGACATGAGCCACTGTGCCTGGCCTAAATCTTCTTTTGGTTACATTTATAGGTACATTATTAATATAAATATTTTAAATGTTATATAAATTATAAAAATCTAATATGGTATCAGTCATAATTTTGATGATGTTAAATATTCTCTAAAGTTGTATATGTATAGATATATTATTAATATGAATATTCTAAAGATTATATAAAATTTGTGGAAGTCTGATGGATCTGATGTGTTGCCATCAGTCATGATTCTGGCTGTTATCTTAAAATGCTACATATAATAGAAATAAATAAATTTTCTCGCAGGTCGAGAACTTCCACTGGATTTTAACCAAAGGATATTCTAAGTTTTTGTCATCCACGGTGATTGTTTAAAGTTCTTCTCTAAAACCCTTTACAGGCCGGGCGTGCTGCTGGAGACTGTGCAGGGCACGGTGCTGGGCGTGGTGCAGGGCACGGTGGCTCACACGTGTAAAAATCCCAGCACTTTGCAAGGCCGAGGTGGGTGAATTGCTTGAACTCAGAAGTTTGAAAGCATCCTGGGCAACATGGTAAAACCCTGTCTCTACAAAAATACAAAAATTGGCCAGCATGATGGTGCATGCCTATGGTCCCAACTACTTCGGAGGCTGAGGTAGGAGGATGGCTTGAGTTTGGGAGGGAGAAATTGTGGTGAGCCAAGATCATGCCACTGCACTCCATCCTGAGTGATAGAACCAGACCATGTCTCAAAAAAAAAAAAGCCTTTACAATCAGCTATCATCTAAATTACTTTTAATGGAAAGGACTCTGACAAGTTCTCTTAAATATGGTTTCAGATAACTTTGGGGATCATACCATTGGACTAGGAAAATCTTCCAGGACTCTAAAAAGCTGAATGAGAATTTCCAATTGAAATCAAGCAAAACACAAAAAACTGAATGAGAATTGCTCTTTGAAATCAAGCAGAACAAGATTTAGTTACATTGGACTGAACTTATAAAAGAAGGAAAAGATTTTATTCATGGCCCTTCCATTGGAAACATTGTTGATTCTCTTTATGTTTTGTTTTCCAAAGTCAAGAATTTTTTTTCTTTTCAGCTATTTTTAACTTACCCTACGTTAGAAAAACTACATTGTGAACAAAAATTTGAGCCATTTATCTGTCTCTCTAACTGATTTCTCCAGAATTCAGAAGCCATTCGTGAGCATTCCTAAATTATGGCAATATAATTATTTGCATAATTTCAATAAGAATCTATTTTTGGTAACAGGATTCAATTGGAGACACTGTTTGTTTTATCAAGTCTTTAACTCGAACGGCAGATACAACCAGACCACTTTAAGGAATTGAGCTTGACTTTATAGCACCAATGCAAAGCCCCTTAGAATGACTGGCTTGGTGTCTTGTCTACAAGGGTCCTTTACAAAGTTGCTGTCCTTGTGGTAAGAAGTAAAGAATGTCACTTTCTGACTGGCCCAGGAACCTCAAGTTATTTGGGGACCTTGAGAAGACAGGACTACACCCATTCATAAAAGTATCACAGGAGAGCTGGCAAGATGTCTGAATAGGAACAGCTCCGGTCTGCAGCACCCAGTGGGATCAACACAGAAGGCAGGTGGTTCATGCATTTCCAACTGAGCCTCCACTGGTGATACCCAGGCAAACAGGGTCTGGAGTGGACCTCCAGCAAACTCGAGCAAACCTGCAGCAGAGGGACCTGACTGGTAGAAGGAAAACTAACAAACATAAAGGAATAGTATCAACATCACCAACATCAAAGACCAAAGGTAGATAAATCCACAAAGATGGGGAGAAACCAGTGCAAAAAGGCTGAAAACTCCAAAAGCCAGAATGCCTCTTCTCCTCCAGAAGATCACAACTCCCCACCAGCAAGGGAACAAAGCTGGACAGACAATGAGTTTGAGGGATTGACAGAAGTAGGCTTCAGAAGGCGGGTAATAACAAACTCCTCCAAGCTAAAGGAGCGTGTTCTAACCCAATGCAAGGAAGCTAAGAGCCTGAAAAAAAAAGGTAGGACGAATTGTTAACTAGAATAACCAGTTTAGAGAAGAATATAAATGAACTGATGGAGCTGAAAAACCCAGCACAAGAACTTCATGAAGCATACACAAGTATCAATAGCTGAATCAATCAAGCAGGAGAAAGAATATCAGAGATTGAAGATCAACTCAATGAAATAAAGCAAGAAGAAAAGATTCGAGAAAAAAGAGTGAAAGAAATGAACAAAGCCTCCAAGAAATAGAGGAATATGTTAAAACACTGAATCTATGTTTGATTCGTTTACCTGAAAGTGACAGAGAGAATGGAACCAAGTTGGAAAACACTCTCAAGGATATTATCCAGGAGAACTTCCCCAACCTAGCAAGACAGGCCAACATTCAAATTCAGGAAATACAGAGAACACCACTAAGATATTCCTCAAGAAGAGCAACCCCAAGACACAAAATCATCAGATTCACCAAGGTTGAAATGAAGGAAAAAATATAAAGGGCATCCAGAGAGAAAGGTTGAGTTACCCACAAAGGGAAGCCCATCAGACTAACAGTGGATCTCTTGGCAGAAAGCCTACAAGCCAGAAGAGAGTGGGGGCCAATATACAACATTCCTAAAGAAAAGAATTTTCAAGCCAGAATTTCATATCCAGGCAAACTAAGCTTCATAATTGAAGTAGAAATAAAATCCTTTACAAGCAAATGCTGAGAGATATTGTCACCACCAGGCCTGCCTTACAAGAGCTCCTGAAGGAAGCACTAAACATGGAAAGGAACAACTGGTAACAGCCACTGCAAAAACGTAACAAATTATACAGACCATTGACACTATGAAAAATCTGCATCAACTAATGAGCAAAATAACCAGCTAGTATCATAATGACAGGATCAAATTCATACATAACAATATTAACCTTAAATGTAAATGAGCTAAATGCCCCCAATTGAAAGACACAGACTGGCAAATTGGATAAAGAGTCAAGACCCATCAATGTGCTGTACTCAGGAGACCCATCTCATACACATAGGCTCAAAATAAAGGGATGGAGGAACATTTACCAAGCAAGTGGAAAGTAACAAAAGGCAGGGGTTGCAATCCTTGCAATCCTAGTTTCTGATAAAACAGATCTTAAGCCAACAGAGATCAAAAGAGACAAAGAAGGGCACTACATAATGGTAAAAGGATCAATGCAACAAGAAGAGCTAACTATCCTAGACATATATGCACCCAATACAGGAGCACTGAGATTCATAAAGCAAGTTCTTAAAGACCTACAAAGAGACTTAGACTCCCACACAATAATAGTGGGAGACTTTAACACTCCACTGTCAATATTAGATCAATGAGACAGAAAATTAACAAGAATATCCAGGACTTGAACTCAGTTCTGGACCAAGTGGACCTAAAAGATATCTACAGAACTCTCCACCCCAAATCAATAGAATATACCTTCTTCTCAGCACCACATTGCACTTATTCTAAAATTGACCACATAATTGGAAGTAAAACTCTCCTCAGGAAATGCAAAAGAATGGAAATCATAACAAACAGTCTCTCAGACCGCAATGCATTCAAATTAGTATGCAGGATTAAGAAACTCACTCAAAACCTCACAACTACATGGAAACTGTGTAACCTGATCCTGAATGACTACTGGGTAAATAAAGAATTGAAGGCAGAAATAAAAATGTTCTTCGAAACCAATGAGAACAAAGACACAACGTCCCAGAATCTCTGGGACACATTTAAAGCAGTGTGTAGAGGGAAATTTATAGCACTAAATGTCCACAAGAGAAAGCAGGAAAGATCTAAAATTGACACCTTAACATGAAAATTAAAAGAACTAGAGAAGCAAGAACAAACAAATTCAAAAGCTAGCAGAAGACAAGACACAAATAAGATCAGAGCAGAATTGAAGGAGATAGAGACACGAAAAACCCTTCAAAAAATCAATGAATCCAGGAGCTGGTTTTTTGAAAAGATCAACAAATCAGACCACTAGCCAGACTAATAAAGAAGAAAAGAGAGAAGAATCAAATAGATGCAATAAAACATGATTAAGGGGATATCACCACTGATCCCACAGAAATGCATATTCTCATCAGAGAATACTACCAAGACTAAACCAGGAAGAAGTGAAATTCCTGAATAGACCAATAACAAGTTCTGAAATTGAGGCATTAATTATAGCCTACCAACCAAAAAAATTCCAGGACCAGATGGATTCACAGCCGAATTCTACGAGAGGTACAAAGAGGAGCTCGTACCATTCCTTCTGAAACTATTCCAAACAATAGAAAAAGAGAGAATCCTCCCTAACTCATTTTATGAGGTCAGCATCACCTTGATAGCAAAACCTCGCAGGGACACAACAAAAAAAAGAAAACTTTAGACCAATATCCCTGATGAACATTGATGCAGAAATCCTGAATAAAATACTGGAAAACTGAATCCAGCAGCACATCAAAAAGCTTGTCCACCATGATCAAGTCGGCTTCACCCCTGGGATGCAAGGGTGGTTCAACATATGCAAATCAATAAATGTAATCCATCACATAAAGGGAACCAATGACAAAAACTGCATGATTATCTCAATAGATGCAGAAAGGGCCTTTGACAAAATTCAACAACCTTTCATGCTAAAAACTCTCAATAAACTGGTATTGATGGAACGTATCTCAAAATAATAAGTGCTATTTATGACAAACCCACAGCCAGTAACATACTGAATGTGCAAAAACTGGAAGCATTCCCTTTGAAAATCAGCACAAGACAAGGATACCCTCTCTCACTACTCCTATTCAACATAGTATTGGAAGTTCTGGCCAGGGCAATCAGGCAAGAGAAAGAAATAAAGGGTATTCAATTAGGAAAAGAGAAAGTCAAATGGTCTCTGTTTGCAGATGACATGATTGTATATTTAGAAAACCCCATCATCTCAGCCCAAAATCTCCTTAAGCTGATAAGCAACTTCAGCAAAGTTTCAGGATACAAAATCAATGTGCAAAAATCACAAGCATTCCTATACAGCAATAACAGACAAACAGAGAGCCAAACTGTGAGTGAACTCCCATTCACCATTGCTATAAAAAGAATGAAATACCTAGGAATACAACTTACAAGGATGTGAAGGACCTCTTCAAGGAGAACTACAAACCACTCCTCAAGGAAATGAGAGAGGACACAAACAAATGGAAAATCATTCCATGCTCATAGATAAGAAGAATCAGTATCGTGAAAGTGACCTACTGCCCAAAGTAATTTATAGATTCACTGCTATCCCCATTAAACTGCCATTGACTTTCTCCACGGAATTGGAAAAATATACTTTAAATTTCATATGGAATCAAAAAAGAGCCTGAATAGCCAAGACAATCCTAACCAAAAAGAACAAAGCTGGAAGCATCATGCCACCTGACTTCAAACTATACTACAAGCTATGGTAACCAAAACAGCATGGTACTGGTACGAAAACAGATATATAGATCAAAGGAACAGAACAGAGGCCTCAGAAATAGCACCACACATCTACAACCATCTGATCTTTGACAAACCTGAGAAAAACGAGCGCTGGGGAAAGGATTCCCTATTTAATAAATGGTGTTGGGAAAACTGGCTAGCCATAGGCAGAAAGCTGAAACTGGATCCCTTCCTTACACCTTATACAAAAATTAACTCAAGGTGGGTTAAAGACTTAAACATAAGACCTAAAGCCATAAAAACCGTAGAGGAAAACCTAGGCAATACCATTCAGGACATAGGCATGGGCAAAGACTTCATGACTAAAACACCAAAAACAAAGGCAACAAAAGCCAAAATTGACAAATGGGACCTAATTAAACTAAAGAGTTTCTGGACAGCAAAAGAAACTATCAGAGTGAACGGGCAACCTACAAAATGGGAGAAAATTTTTGCAGTCTATCCATCTGACAAAGGGCTAATATCCAGAATCTACAAAGAACTTAAACAAATTTGCAAGATAAAACAACCCCATTGAAAAGTGGGCAAAGGATGTGAACAGACACTTCTCAAAAGAGGACAATTATGCAACCAACAAACTTATAAAAAAGCTCATCATCACTAGTCATTAGAGAAATGCAAATCAAAACCACAATGAGATATCATCTCATGCCAGTTAGAATGGCGAAAATTAAAGAGTCAGGAAACAACAAATACTGGAGAGAGTGTGGAGAAATAGGAAGGCTTTTACACTGTTGGTGGGAGTGTAAATTAGTTCAACCATTGTGGAAGACAGTGTGGCTATTCCTCAAGGATCTAGAGCTAGAAATACCGTTTGGCCCAGCAATCCCATTACTGGGTATATACCCAAAGGATTATAAATCATTCTACTATAAAGACACATGCACATGTATGTTTATTGCAGGACTGTTCACAATAACAAAGACTTGGAACCAACCCAAATGCCCATCAATGATAGATTGAATAAAGAAAATGTGGCACATATACACCATGGAATACTATGCAGCCATAAAAAACGATGAGTTCATGTCCTTTGCAGGGACATGGAAGAAGCTGGAATCCATCATTCTCAGCAAACTAACACAAGAACAGAAAACCAAACACCACATGTTCTCACTCATAAGTGGGAGTTGAACAATGAGAACACATGGACACAGGGAGGGGAACATCACACACTGGGGCCTGTTGGGGGGTGGGGGCAGGGAGAGGGATAGCATTAGGAGAAATGCTTATTATAGGTGATGGGTTGATGGGTGCAGCAAACCACCGCAGAATATATATACCTATGTAACAAACCTGCACGTTCTGCACATGTACCCCAGAACTTAAAGTATAATTTAAAAAAGTAGGTTAAAAAATTATTACAGACACAGTCTGATGCAAATCTTTGACTTGACTAGCTTCAAGGCTCTTAAAAGTCTAAGATTCCTTATTAAAAATTTCCAACAAAGCCAATTTTAAGAAGCCTATATGGCCAATAAATATTCTTGCTGCCCTTTATGGAAATAATCAGGCCCGGTATGATAAGACTAAAACTTATTTTGCATACAAAATTGGTCCTACTATGATTTGTCTTTGATAAAATGATGGACTAGAGAGAAAATTTATGTTCCAAAAGAAAACTATGACATATGCTATTAGATTCCAACCCTGATCATTGTTTTAGAGTTTTTATTATTTGCCTATAATTTGGGCTGAATCCTGAATTATTTCCTGGCTCCAAGTGTTCCCTAGTGAATCTGAATATAATATATTTTTTAAAACTTGTTTTATCCTGTCAGGAATGAGATGTATTTTTGAAGGACTACTTAAACTAGCAATTACAATTCGATTATTATGATTATAGAATCTCGGGATTTCTCTTCCTTCTTGTCAAGGTCTTTACCTGATGTTTGTCTCATTAAAAAAAAAATGAGACTGATTACACTCTACTCAAGACTGAAGACATGTACTTTAACCTGTCTCTGTTACCAGTAAACCAAAGCCTTAACTTTCAGAGTCTGTCAGGGACCCTGTGTGGTCCCTGGATCAACCACCCATGGGCTTATGAATGTGTTGACCGCTGGCATATGAGAAGTAATTGTCTATTAGGTTATGTGACTCTTCCTCTTTCTATTTATAACTCCAATGTTTCTGAACACTGAAGTAGTTCATCGAAATTACTTTCCAGGATTAGACAAACCATACCTGCAAACCAAGGAGGTGAATTTTGGCCAATGTTTGGCAGAAGTCACTTGCAATGGTGGGGAGTAACCTCTCATGAACGTATAATTAGAAATCTGTCAACCACTCTAGGTAAATTAGTGAATGAACTAGCTGAAGCCATAGCTACCAAACAAAGATCTTTAGACTCTTTAGCCAGGATAGTCATGGATGACGGAATAACTTTAGGCTACATAGTGGTGAAACACGGAGAAATTCATATGGCAGCTAGCTAACATATTATGTTGTGTTTAGATCTATGCATCTTCTGAAGTTGAAACAAATGTAAAAAAATATGACAATATGAGAATTAATTATGACAAATCCTAGGGAAGAGGCTGAAAGAGCTGTAACACAAACAGGGCTGAGTCATGCCCCTTGCTTGCCACATTGTGGGCAAAGAGAAGGAAACAAGAGCTGTGACCCTTTGGGAAGCCCAGACCTGGGAGCTCCCCGAGCCAGGGCTGTGATTCCCTCTTTGGGGCCCTGTGGTTCCTGGTATCTCCAAGCTTCCGGGTGCCACTGTGTTCCCAGTGTGCCAGCTGCGGAAGCTGCTTGCGGTGCCCGTGGTCCAGCCACAGACTTGTGGAGAGCTGGCACCCATGTTGGCACCTGGAGCTACCTGCCCCACTGCAGCAGCCAGGAAGTCTGACTGCACAGTGGCCAGACCCCATGCTTGCTCACACACCCCTTGCCACTCCACGCAGTCTCCCTTGGCAAACATGGGATCCAACCTGGTAGCATGAGCTGAGCACAGCCTGCCAGGCTGAGTGGGCGGGGCCCAAGCAAAACTCAGGTAAAGGTGCCACCAGCCATAGAGGTTTCTGTCCAGAAAAGTGACACTCCAAAGATCCCATAACACCGCTACTCTTCCCAGCCTCTGGAAACTCTCAGTCTACTCTCCATCTTGATGAGTTCAATTGTTTTAATTTTTAACTCCCACAAATGTGTGAGAACATGCAAAGTCTTTCTGTGCCTGGCTCATTGTACTTAACATAATGTTCCCTAGTTCCATCCACGTTGTTGCAAGTGACACAATCTTATTGTTTTTCATGGCTGAAGAGTACTCCATTGTGTACATGTACTACATTTTCTTTATCCCTTCATCTGTTGATGCACACTTAGGTTGCTTCCAAATCTTGGCTATTATGAATAGTGCTGAAATAAATATGGGAATGCAGATATCTCTTTCATATACTAATTTTCCCTCCCTTGGGTATATACCCAGCAGTGGGATTGCTGTATCATATGATAGTTCTATTTTTAATTTTTTGAGGGACCTCCATATTGTTCTCCATAGTGAATGTACTAATTTACATTCCCACCAACAGAGTAAGAGGGTTCTCTTTTCCCTACATTCTTGCAAGCATTTGTTATTGCCTGTCTTTTGCATAAAAGCCATTTTAATGGGGGTAAGATGATATCTTATTGTAGTTTTGATTTGAATTTCTCTGATGATCGGTGATATTGAGCATCTTTTCATATACCTATTTGACATTTATATATCTTCTTTTTTGTTTTTGCTCATTTTTTGAGACAGTGTCTCACTCTGTCACCCAGGCTGGAGTGCAGTGGTATAATGATGGCTTACTGTAGTTATGACTACCAGGGTTCAAGCAATCCTCCCACCTCAGCCTCCTGAGTAGCTGGGACCACAGGCATGCATCACCATGCCCAGGTAGGTTTTAAAATTATTTGCTATGTTTTTCAGGTTGGTCTTGAACTCCTGGGCTCAAGTGGTCCAACTGTCTTGGCTCCCCAAAATGCTGGAATTACAGGTGTGAGCCACTGCGCCATACCTGCATGCCTTCTTTTGAGAAATGTCTGTTCAGATTTTTTGCCCATTTAAATAATTGGATTATTAGTTTTTTTCTTATAGAGTTGTTTGAACTCCTTATATATTCTGGTTATTAATCCCTTGTCAGATATATAGTTTGCAAATATTTTCTTCCATTCTATGGATTGTCTTTTCACTTTGTCCATTGTTTTCTTTACTATGCAGAAACTTTTGAACTTCATGTGATACCATTTGTTCATTTTTGCTTTGGTTGCCTGAGCTTTTGGAGTATTACTCAAGAAATCTGTGCCCAGACCAATTTCCTGGAGAGTTTCCCTAATGTTTTCTTTCAGTAGTTTCTTGTCCTTGATTTAAGTCTTTAACCCATTTGGATTTGATTTTTGTATATAGCACAAGAGAGGGTTCTAGTTTAATTATTCTGCCAATGACTTTGGGAGGCTGAGGTGGGCAGATCATGAGGGCAGGATATCAAGAACATCCTGGCTAACACGGTGAAACTCCGTCTCTACTAAAAATACAAAAAAAAAAATAGCTGGGCATGGTGGGGGCATTTGTACTCCCAGCTACTTGGGAGGCTGAGGAGGAGAATGGTGTGAACCCGGGAGGTGGAGCTTGCAGTGAGCCCAGATCGCGCCACTGCACTGCAGCCTGAGCAACAGAGCTAGACTCCATCTCAAAAAAAAAAAAATTCTGCCAATGAATATCTAGTTTTCCCAGCACAATTTGGTGAAGAGACTGTCCTCTCCCCCATGTATATTCTTGGCACCTTCATTGAAAATGAGTTAGTTGTAAATGTAAGGATTTATTTCTGGGTTCTCTATTCTGTTCCATTGGTCTATGTGTCTGTTTTATGCCAGTACCATGCTGTTTAGCTTACAATTGCTCTGTAGTATAATTTAACGTCAGGTGATGTGATTCTTCCAGTTTTGTTCTTTTTGCTACGGATGGCTTTGGGTATTCTGGGTCTTTTATGATTTCATATAAATTTTAGGATTTTTTTTCTGTTTCTGTGAAGAATGTTATTAGTATTTCAATAGGGATTGCATTGGGTCTGTAGATTGCTTTGTGAAGTATGTGTATTTTAACAATATTTACTCTTCCAATCAATGAACATGGACTATCTTTCCATTTTTTTTTTTGGTGTCTTCTTTAATTTTTTTGCATTGGTGTTCTATAGTTTTCATCGTAGAGATCTTTCACTTCTTTTGTTACATTTATTCCTAGATATTTTATTTTATTTGTAGCTATTGTAAATGGGATTACGTTCTTGATTTTCTTCTTTAGATTGTTCAGTTTTGGCATTTAGAAATGTTACTGATTTTTTCATTTTGATTTTGTATCGTGTGACTGAATTTGTTGATCAGTTCTGATAGTTTTTTGGTGGAGTTCTTAGGTTTTTCCAAATATAAGATCAAATCACCTGCAAACAAGAAAACAATAATAATTTTACTTCTTTCAATTTGGATGCCCTTTACTGTTTTTCAATTTTCTTGATTGCTCTAGCTAGGACTTCCAGTACTATGTTGAGTAACATTGTTGGAAGTGGACATTCTTGCCTTGTTCCAGATCTTAGAAGAAAGGCTTTCAGGTTATCTCTGTTCAGGATGATACTGGCTGAGGGTTTGTTGCATATGGTTTTTATTGTGTTGTGGTATGTTCCTTCTAAATCTAGTTTTTTTGGGGGTTTCTTTTTATCACAGGGAAGTTGGATTTTATTAAATGCTTTTCAGCATCAATTGAAATTATCATATGTTTTTTGTCCTTCATTCTGTTGATATGATGTGTCACATTGATTGATTTGCATATGTTGAACCATGTTGGCATCCTTGGGATGAATCCCACTTAGACACGATGAATGGTCTTTTACATAAAATGATTTTGGAAATATTACAGACTTCTCTGTTTTTTGGAATAGTTTGAGTAGGATTGATAGTAATTCTTCCTTCAATGTTTGGTAAAATTAATCAGTGAAGCCATTGGATCCAGGTTTTTCTTTGCTAGGAGATGTTTTATTATGGGTTCAATCTCATTTATCCAGTTCTTCTAGGTTTGTGGTTTGGTTGTGTTTTTTTTTTTTTTTTTTTGAGATGGAGTCTTGCTCTGTCACCCAGGATGGAGCTTGGTACAATCTCAGCTCACTGCAACTTCTGCCTCCCAGGTTCAAGCTATTCTCCTGCCTCAGCCTCTGGAGTAGCTGGGAGTACAGGTGCACGCCACCATGCCTGGCTAATTTTTGTATTTTTAGTAGAGATGGGGTTTCACCATGTTGGCCAGGCTGGTCTTGAACTCCTGATCTCAGGTGATCACCTGCCTTGGCTTCCCAAAGTGTTGGGATTACAGGCATGAGCCACGGGGCCTGGCCATGACTTGCAGGTTTTTCAATTTATTGGAATATAGTTGGTCATAATAGTTTCTAATGATTACTTGAATTTCTGCAGTATCAGTTGCAGTGTCTCCTTTTTAATCTCTGGTTTTATGTATTTGAGTCTTCTCTCTTTTCTCTTAGTCTGGCTAAATGTTTGTTGATTTTGTTGATCTTTTAAAAAAATATTAACTTTTCATTTCATTGATATTTTATATTTTTAAATTTCAATTTCATTTATTTCTGCTCTGATCTTTGTTATGTTTCCTTCTACTAATTTTGGTTTTGGTTTGCTCTTGCTTTTCTAACTATTTAAGATGCATTATTAGGTTGTTTATTTGAAGTTTTTCTACTTTTTTTGATGTAGGTGCTTTTTGCTATAAACTTACTCCTTAGTACTGTTTTTACTGTATCCCATAGGTTTGTTTTTTGTTTTCTTGTTTTTGTTTATTTTTGGAGACGGAGTCTCTCTCTGTTGCCCAGGCTGGAGTGCAGTGGTGCAATCTTGGCTTACTACAAGCTCTGCCTTCTGGGTTCATGCCATTCTCCTGCCTCAGCCGAGTAGCTGGGACTACAGGTGCCTGCCACCATGCCCAGCTAATTTTTGTTTTTTGTATTTTTAGTAGAGACGGGGTTTCACCGTGTTAGCCAGGATGGTCTCGATCTCCTGACCTTGTGATCCACCCAACTCGGCCTCCCAAAGTGCTGGGATTACAGGCATGAGCCACTGCGCCTGGCCTGTATCCCATAGGTTTTGGTTTAACTTTAAAGTTTTTCTCTTCTCAAAAACTCAGTGTCATGTTACTGGCTTCTAGAGCTTTGGGTAGTGAGACCCTTTTACTTGATAACAGTGGTAGCTGGGACAACTTGGCAATGTAAATAAATAAACGGCATCTAGATTGGAAAGGAAGAAGTACAGTTATCTTTATGTACAGATGACATGATCTTGCATTTAGAAAATCATAAGAAATTTACTAAAAAGTGTTAGGACTCATGAACAAATTTTGGAATGTAACACTATATAAGATTGGTATACAAAAATAACTGTATTTCTTTACCAAGAAATCAAGAATCCAAAAATGGAATTACAAAAATAAATCTTGTTACAATATAATTAAAGCTGGGGTAACTTTAACATAAGAAGCTTAAACTTGAACACTAAAAACTACAATGCATGGTTAGTGTTGGAAACACCCAGGTACCATCCCTGAGCCTTCTCTCCTTGGCTCTGAGGACTTTACCTTCACGGGGTGAGGAAAGGGTTTGCATTCTTGGCTTTTACATTATAGTAGGTGGGTTCGGGGTGAGGTATCTGCAAGTCAAATGAGTATTACAATCTCTACTTTTATGTATAGGAGACTGGGGCCCACAAAGAGAGGGAATGACAATCCATATCCTGGAAGGCAAATTGTCAGGCACTGATTTCCCCTATGTAAACCCTGCCAATCATCGTGTATTTAAAGGATCCCCGGATACCTTACCAATAGGTGTTCAAGAGAGAGGCCTGTAATCTAGGCGTCTGAGAAAGCAAGGCTAGATATTCCAATATTGGAGACAACAGGGCTCTGGGAAGATTAAGGTTGAGTTTTCTGGATCTGCAGAATAGAGTCACTGAGGAGCAATTGCAAGTTCAGAGGAGATGAAAGAACAAGTCAGGGCATGCTTAGGAAAAGAGAAAACCAGGGATAGATTTTAGGCAAGAGTCACACTGAGGAAGGGCAGGTTCTTGGCGTCGCTCAGGAAGGAATCCAAAAGCAAGCCTGTGGTGGAATAAAGCAGCTCTATGGAGGCATTGGCGGTGTTACAGCCCTGCGTCCGCTCCTGCAGGGCAGGGAGCCCTCTGTGGGTTGTGCTCCCAGAGTAGCAGCCTAGGGGTGGCTTGTAGTCATTTTTATAATTCACTTTTAATGACATGCTAATTAAGGGGCGGGTTACTCAGAAATAGCTAGAAATGGGCAGTAACTTCCAGCTGTTTCCATGGCAAGGGGTGGGGACTTCCTGTGTTGCCATGGCACTGGCAAACTGTCATGGTGCTGGTGGGAGCATCTTCTGGTGATCTGAGGCGTGAAGTGCTTTCGCTGCCTCTCCCAGTTTCCTCTGTGCCTCTTACCTGAAAGCCCTTCACACCCCCATCTACCCACCTACAAAGTTCACTGCCCTTTCACCCCACACCCGTTTCACACGCACTCCCACATCAACCCCAAGCATTCAAGCTGGGAATTTCCCTGTTAGGAACCTCGGTGGTAGCCGGAGCTCTGAAAAACCCCTAGGCAGAACTCCTTGCCTAGTTTGTGGCAGAAATCAGGGAAGGAAAGGCAAAGTTCAGGTATTTCGCACAATAAATAAATAAAGATAGGTAGATTTGATTGATGGATGGATGGATGAAACGTGGGAGTTTATGGGCAAATGTTCATCAGACACTGGAAGTGTAAGTTGTCACAAAGATTATGGAGTGCACTTGTCTTATGACCCTGTTATTTTATCCTAGTATATACACTAGAGCATTTTTTTCTAACTGTGTAAATTGAAAGCTCACAAATTAGTTTCGTGAGATAAAAGATAACAGATTGGAAGAGAATTACCATATTCATTAGTTGTGTTTTTAAAAATTTAAAGTAAAATAGAGACATGATTTTTTTCATGCTTTCGAATGCATCTATGAAAAATAGACTTGAGGGCTGGGCGCGGTGGCTCACGCCTGTAATCCCAGCACTTTGGGAGGCCTAGGAGGGCGGATCACGAGGTTAGGAGTTAGAGACCAGCCTGACCAACATGGTGAAACCCCGTTTCTACTAAAAATACAAAAATTAGGTGAGTGTGGTGGCGCCCGCCTGTGATCCCAGATACTCAGGAGGCTGAGGCAGGAGAATCTCTTGAACCTGGGAGGCAGAGTTTGCAGTGAGCGAAGGTCGCACCATTGCACTCCAGCCTGGGTGACAGAGCGAGACTCCATCTCAAAAAAAAAAAAAGTTACTCATTAACAGCATAGACCAATTGGTTTCTATTGGAATTTCTCCATTATTTTCACAATGTCCCAGGCTGTGAAACCAGGATTTAATAACGAACCAGAATGCCACATCTGTGTCACGTGGGTAGGGACCAGTCCTGATCCATTAACTCCGGGTCTCCGGGTAACTGGACTCACTGCTGGGCAAAACAGAATGTCCGGCGTGCGTTCCTAACGGGGGACCGCAGAGCCTCATAGGAAATGTAGTGTCACCTTCCAATGATGTTACCATCAAGGACCTTGGGAACCAGCTTTTCTCTCTGCGCATGCGCCGCCCCGCCCACTTCGCCATTTTCCTCCGGAAGTGCGGATCCCAGCGGCGGTCGTGTAGCTGAGCAGGCCTGGGGCTTGGTTCTATGTCCCTGTAGGTAGGTGCGAGGGCGAAGAGGAACCTGTGGGCCTCGGGGGATCCCGGGGGGCCAGACCAGTGTTCCCCATTTGTGGGGGCAGACGCGTGGGCGCATCGCGGGCAGGAGGGGCCTGACGTGCATTTGCGGGCCGTGGACCCTGGCGGGGGCTGGGAGGACAGACGTGGGGTCCCAGCAGTGAAGCGGGTTCCAGAGGCGCAGGAGTGGGTAGGCGAGGCTGGTGGCCCTGGGCCCGGAGTCTGCAGGCCGCGCTCCTGTCCTGCCACTGAGGGACCCGGTTACCAACCCTCATGTAGCTCAGTTTGCCCATCTGTCCCCGTGCTAACACACAGTTCTCGGGAGACGTTCCCCATTCCCAGAGTAGTAGTGCGAAATGCGTGTGCCTCTAGTCTCAAGCTGGGCGTTTGTATTAGTTGGGTTTCCTGGTGTCTATTTAACAAGTGAAGTTTCTGGTTCCCTCCTTCACTGTGTGACCTGCCTAGTCCTCCTGGATTGCATTTATGGAAGTTTATACGAGACCTAGTTTCCATGGAGGAACTCACTGATTCCGCGAGGGAGATGGGGTACTGGATGATGGTCTTCAGCCTTAAGGGTACTTCAGTCTTCACTGTGTGTTATAAAGTTTGAAAGGGAGGGTTCCCTATGAATAAGAAGCGCACTTGAAAGAACAGCCCTCTGGTCTAACTTCTCACTGGTGCTTCAGAGGAGGATAAAAGGTCGCAGGTGAAGATCCCAGTTTTCCTCGCTCAGGAAATATTAATTCTACTCCCTAGAATGCACAAGATTTTCAAAGACTAGGTGATAGTGGAAGGTTTGGAAGAACTTTCAGAAGGTTGAGGTGAATTCAGCTGAGAAGAACAGGCAAGGACCTAGGAAATATTCCTTATTTGAAGGGGCCTGAAAGTGTGGTCTGGGGTGCAGGAGTGACCTGTCATACTTGAAAAGATTGAAATACTCTCCAAATACAGTCCCATTCCTTCAAACTTAGCTTGTTGTTTCCAGTGTCTGAGATATATTAAACCTAGTCCATCACCAAATTTAGCATAGATTGTGAAGTTCTATTGATTGCATTTGATTTGTAATTTAAGACTTTCTCCCCCTACATAATTTCGTTAAAAACATATTGAATTCTATTCACTTAGGTGTAACAGTTAATATTTGCTGTTTAAGGAACTAATTAAACCTTACTAGCTTATAAAAAACAACCACCATTTTATTTGTTTGAAGTTCTGTGGATCTGCATTTTGGTGTGGTGGGTTCAGCTGGGTAGTTGATATATTTGTGTTGCCTGGATCACAAAACAGGCCTTAGTCACCTGGTGCCTTGACTGAGCCTGGTTGGTTTAAGATAGTTTCCTTCACAATCTGGTGGTTTGTGGTGACTCTTGGCTAGGCCCTGTGTCTCCAACAGGGTAGCTCCAGACCTCTTCACAATATGACTGTGTCCAAAAAGGCAAGAACCAATGGATATTTGCATCACATTTTCCATTGTCCATTCACTGGACAAGTCAGATGGAAAAGCCCAATTTATTGTCAGAGCATAATATGAGGGCTTGGATACAGGGAAAGGTGTTATTGGGAAACATGAGTAGAATGGTGTACTGCAGGAAATACATATTATGTACATTTTAAAAAACGTAGGCCAAAATTACTGGGTTGCAAGATGCACTTTCCATGATGTTCAGGTATAGAAAAGCAAGATGTACTGTCATGGGAATACTCATATGAAGTTATCTGTGGAATCCACATGTTAATAGGAAAATAGTTAATACAGCCCAGTATATTTCTATAACATTTATTTTAGTGAACTTATAATGTTTCTTTGTATTAAATTATTAGATTATATCTTTAGGTAATATTGTTACTAAATTAGTAGGTAATACATATTTTTATTCAAAAATAAATTGTGCATCTAATGTCTACCAATTAATGTACTTGTAGATGTATCTTATCTTAACTTGAGTCTCTGCTGCCCCTAATGAGGTGTGAAGGACTCTTCTCCCATGGGGAAGTTTTTCTTTTTCCGGAGGGAGGAGGGCTTTTCCAGGTAATGTGTCTAGAGTGTTGGGCAGAAGAATCTGGGACCACACCTCACCAGTTCTCTCCTTAATCGACGTCATTTGCCTTCTCTTCCAGCTATGTTTCCAGTGTCCTCTGGGTGTTTCCAAGAGCAACAAGAAACGAATAAATCTCTGGTGAGTTGTTTATTTGTTCTTCACTTTGTTTTACACTGTATTTTCTGAGTTTATGGGTGTCTGTGAATTAAAAAGGAAAAGTGGAAATAAGTAAAACTCAGGTTGAAGGAAATATACATAAATAAGATAAAGCTGACCTGTAGATATAGACAGGTTATAAAAGCTTAGAGTTGTCTAAGTTGAGTGCAAAGTTTCCTCTGATCTTTCTGATGCCGAAACAAAAAAGGCAGTCATGTTTCTTACGTGATTGGAATGGAACCCGAAAAGAGAGCATGCTGTGTTCTTGTGGGACAGGAAAGCTTGTGTGCACCAAGTCTTAACCACCACCTTCATTGGTGACATAGATTATGTGCTGGAACATATTTCACACCGGTCTGGCAGTAAGCACTTGTAGTGTTGTGCAGTGGAAACAGTCATCTTCCGCTAAGGCATGGCGTGTTGTGCAGTGGAAATGGTCATTTTCCGCTAAAGCATGGCGTGTTGTGCAGTGGAAATGGTCATCTGACGCTAAAGCACAGCATGTTGTACAGTGGAAATGGTCATCGTCTGCTAAAGCACGGCGTGTTGTGCAGTGGAAATGGTCATCTGCTGCTAAAGCACAGCTTCCATCATAAGGTATGCTCCTTGCTCAAAGAGTGTGGTCCCAAACAGCTTTTGGGAGGTCCTCCTTGACTCATGGATGAAACCCAGAACATCTTGAGGACTGAGTTAACCACAGGTCCTTAAATAACTCTCCACACATTTTTCTTAGTTTATCTCTACATGCAGGGTGTGCAGCAGCCTGTTCAAAGTCATATTTTCTGGGAAATATTTTCAGTGTTTATTTGCAATTTAGCCCACTCTGTGTAGTCTTAACTTATTTCTTCTAAACTCACCATTAACCTAAATAATAGTCAAATTTAGGGGGGCTGTATTTGTCTTACTCGAGTCTTCTACCATAGTTGAAACTGTTGTACCCAAACGAGTTAGAAATGCCACACTTTGAGACGAATTCAGGAGTCCTTTATTAGCTGGTGACTGAGAGATGGCTAACACAGGAAATACTCTCGGCCCTAAAGAATGGGCTAGATTTTCTTTTATACATTGGTTTAGAGAGGGGAGGGGGGATTCCAGCTGCAATAAACTTACAGAAGAAAAAACAGACAAAAAACTTAAAAAGACAGATGGTTACAGGAAAACAAACTGTTCCAGGTGCAGAGGCTTTAAATTCACCACAAAGTGATGAGTGAGGGGGCTCTGGGCATTATCTTCCAGACAAATGTGGGGGCTTTATGATATTATCTCTGAGTAATTTGCTGGGAACTGCGGACATCACTTGCCTCAGCACTTTATCAGTTAATTGCACTCTTTGATATGTTGAAAATCAGCTTGCACAAGTTAAAGTCCTTGAGGAAAGGGGGTGGGTAAGGAGCCCTTGATGTCTTGTAAATGAAGGAGCCAAATGGAGTTTGTCTGGTTTTCTCAGCTAAGGGAGAGTCTATTCATATTAAAAACAAGGTTAGCTATCTAAGGAAGAGTCTATTCATGTTAATACAACGTTGGGTATTACAAAACATCTGTTCATGATCTGGAAATTCTTCCGTGTTAGTTCTGTTAAAAGAAAAACTTTAAAGGAGTTTAATTGAGCAATAAACGATTCATGAATCGGAAAGTCCCCAGAATCACAGCAGATTCACAGAGACTCCAGCACAGTCATGTGGTGGAAGAAGATTTGTAGACAAAAGGGAAGTGGCATACCGAAATCGGAAGTGAGGTACAGAAACAACTCAGCGTTTGCCTTGTTTGAGCACAGTTTGAACATTTGGCAGTGCCTGAGTGGTTGAAGTTTGGCCATTGGGATTGGCCAAGATGTAGCTGTTGTTTGAGGTGCATACACTCAAGTTAGGTTTTCATTCTTGTTTACCTATTAAGATAGGTTGCAGGTCACCCACAAGGACTCATATATATAATTATGGAGTCCTTCTCAGGACATACTTAGTTCACTTTAACAATGCCTTCCCTTTGGTTATTTTCTCAATTTTGAGAGATTGGCCAAAACTTCAGTCACTGGTGTCACTATTACCCTTGCAAATGTACTTATTTGGTTTAGAAACCCACTGGGAAATAGAACAGTGAGATTTGAAAAGGTGGAACAAGGACTTGAGTAGAAGTTGTCTTCTTATGCTGGAACATCCTGTTTACAGGAGAAAAACAAAACCTGGTTTGTTCTAGGATTTATGTGTTTCCTTAAAGTCTTAGTTTGATTATGTTCCATTTAGCATGAGTGACTCCATTTTGGTTTGGTTTGTTCTGTTGGGACCTATTGCATGAGCTTAGTTCAAAACAATGGCCTCCCATAATTTTGCTTAAAAAATTCCTCCTTTTGGCTGGGCACGGTGGCTCATGCCTGTAATCCCAGCACTTTGGAAGGCCGAGGTGGGCAGATCACGAGATCAGGAGATTGAGACCATCCTTGCTAATACGGTGAAACCCCATCTCTACTAAATACACAAAAAAATAGCCAAGCATGCTGGCGGGTGCCTGTAGTCCCAGCTACTCAGGAGGCTGAGGCAGGAGAATGGCCTGAACCCGGGAGGCAGAGCTTGCAGTGAGCCGAGATCATGCCACTGCACTCCACTCTGGGGGACAGAGCAAGACTCTGTCTCAGAAAAAAAAAAATCCTCCTTTTCAGTCAAGTTCTCACTTAGTTGAGAGTGTGACCAAAATGTAGGGCCTTAGCCCCACTCTTAGTTACCATTGTTTTGGGTTTCCGGTTTAGCACATCACTCCCATTGTTTTGGGTAATGGTTTTAGCACGTCACTCCCATTGTTTTGGGTTCTGGTTTTAGCATGTTACTCCCATTGTTTTGGGTTTCTGGTTTAGCACGTCACTCCCATTGTTTTGGGTTCTGGTTTTAGTACATCACTCCCATTGTTTTGGGTTCCGGTTTTAGTACATCAGTCCCATTGTTTTGGGTTTCTGGTTTAGCATGTCACTCCCATTGTTTTGGGTTTCTGGTTTAGCATGTCACTCATAGGTTACGGTGTCCTTATGATTGCACATTTTTTTAATCTGTTGTCATTCCAGTTGAAGAGATACCATTTGACATTTTAGAGATGGCTGCATGCAAACTCTTAAAACATTTGAGTAAGTACAGTGCACCAGGGAGACTCTTATGACTATTGGGATAACACCAAGAATTTGGTATATGCTCCTTACTCAGGGTCCCCATAAATCAAACCACCTAAAATCAAATAGATTAAAGAATGAATTAGATAAAGAGTTTACTTGCTTAACTAAGTGGGTCTTTTTGTTAATTCCCTACAACCAAATCTTTATAATACCCGATGTTTTCTCCATATGCCATGTTAGCAGCTGCACAGATACTTAAGATAAGAGTCTCATGATAGTAGAGAAGTCTTGATCTGTGATCTTGGGAAAAGCTGTTCACATTAAGGATGCCATCTTCTTCTGGGGGGGAACTGTCCTTGTTAGCTTTACCTTAAGGGTTCCAAGGGGTGTATGGTTCCAAGTGTGGAGGGACCCTTCTGAGTTGTAAGACTATGAACCCAAAGTTTAAGGTTTTAAAGTTTTGCTGTCATGTGAATGGCAAGGGCAGTCCTCTGATGTTCTCAGAAGATCCAGTCATCAGATTCTAGATTGTGAAGGGGTTGGCTGTCCTCTGTGAACCATAAAAGGCTTTCTTTATCTGGTGAAAATACACTTCAGCATAATAATCTACTGTTTTAACATCAACCCTCTTGCATGGAAGAGCTTTTTTACAATCAGAAAACATGCACTGAAAATGACAACTGAATGAAATCCCTTTATAAAATGTTTAAATGGCCCATCAGGTAACCAAATGCACCTGAAGTTTTGATTGTTTTCCTAGGAATATAGGTTCGACATACCAAACATTGATTATAAACTATTTTAGCAATTTAGAGATCACCACAGCAATATATTTAATTTGGATCATTTTCTCTTTCCATGATGAGTTATGGAATGCAGAACTTTTAATAACAAAAGTTTTAAGGACTTAAGACGGAAAGGTGGCCATCCTGGTTATTCATAAGTCCGTGCTTAATTAACATTAGACTTACATCCTCTTGAATACCAGCTGTTTCTTCAAATTAGGTGCATGGCACTGGTAACTGATGAGTTATAGGTAATTTGGCTTAGACCATGGAGTTTATTTAAATTATATATCTAAACAATTTCAATATTGGTGATTTAGCATGCAAATCTGGAAAATATTTCCTTGATATTCAGTTTTTGTTTTACTTGGGTTAGCAGTTTTATAAACCAGTTGGTCTTCTTATTAAACTTTTGGATTTTTTTTTTTTTGAGACAGAGTCTCACTCTGTTACCTAGGTTGGAGCGCAGTGGCACAATCTTGGCTCACTGCAACCTCCGCCTCCTGGGTTCAAGTGATTCTCCTGCCTCAGCCTCCCGAGTAGCTGGGATTACAGATGCATACCACCACACCCGGCTAATTTTTGTAGTTTTAGTAGAGGTGGGGTTTCACCATTGGCCAGGCTGGTCTCAAACTCCTGACCTCAAGTGATCCACCGGCCTCAGCCTCCCAAAGTGCTGGGATTGCCAACATGAGCCACTGCACCCAGCCTAACTTTTGAGAATTCTTCACCAGTCCAATTATTGGGGGATCGGGGAACTTATGGGGAATTTTTACCCATGATATTAAAGTTATTAGAAACCTGTGTTCCCGAGTGTTTTTCATGGTCCTTTTCATTCTTTCATGAATCTTCTATTCTAGAATTTTGCATGCTTGTGAAGTTTTTAGAAACTGCATCATCATTAAGCAATTAACTGTGGAAATGACTTTAAATAGTTATAGTTAAAGACAATTGATAAGGAAATTTGGTTATTTCTGTGGTCTACAATAACTTAATAACCATAATTAGGGTGGATGTGGTGGCTCATTCCTGTAATCCCAGCTCTTTGAGAGGCCAAGTTAGGTGGATCACCTGAGGTCAGGAGTTTGAGACCAGCCTGGCCAACATGGTAAAACTCTGTCTTTACTAAAAATAAAAAAAATTAGCCGGATGTGGTGGCAGTTGTCTGTAATCCCAGCTACTTGGGAGGCTGAGGCAGGAGAAATGTTTGAACCCAGGAGGTGGAGGCTTCAGTGATCCTAGATCACACCATTGCACTCCAGCCTAGGTGACAAGAGCGAAACTCCGTCTCAAAACAAACAAAACAGGTAATTATGATAGATAGCATATAGGCATATTAGAATTTTAGAATCCTGGCCAGGTGCAGTGGCTCACGCCTGTAATCCCAGCACTTTGGGAGGCCAAGGTGGAAGGATCACGAGGTCAGGAGATGAGAACATCCTGGCTAACACGGTGAAACCCCATCTCTACTAAAAATACAAAAATTAGCTTGGCATGGTGGTGGATGCCTGTAGTCCCAGCTACTCGGGAGGCTGAAGCAGGAGAATGGCATGAACCCAGGAGGCGGAGGTTGCAGTGAGCCGAGATTGTGCCACTGTACTCCAGCCTGGGTGACAGAGCAAGACTCCGTCTCAGGGGAAAAAAAAAAAAGAATTTTAGAAATCCTATACAATTTTAGAACGGGTTGATGACATAAACTAAATATAACCTGAAAAAGGTTCAACATTATGTTTTATTTTGACAGTGCTACCCATGTGACTTAACATGTTAAATAGTCCTGTTTACCTCTCTTTTGGGTGCTTCAAGGGCCTCTGTAGTATCCCAAAGTTAGAGGTCAGAAAAGACAATTTTGAAGTTGAAATTTGATTTTGGGAAGCCTATTAAATATATTAAAAGTTTAAACACTTGATGTTATGAAATAGAATTCCAGGTCACCGTAAGTCATTCATTTACTTAAAATCATGACTTAAAAAAGTTTTAAAGGGCAAAAATCTTTACTCATTGATAGAGGGAAGACATCTTCACAAACGATCTGCCTCTTGTTTTTCCTTTTTTTTTTTTTTTGGTAGTTTATTTAAAAGGCAAACAAATTTTTCATTATTTTTTAATATTACCTGAACATCTTCTTTAAAGTGAGAAAGCCAAATGTCACCCACTTTTTCATAAAACCTCATAGACAAACCTATTATTCTTTCTTTTTTTTTTTTTTTCAGATGGATTTTCCCTCTTGTTGCCCAGGCTGGAGTGCAATGGTGTGATCTCGGTTCACTGCAACCCCCTGCCTCCCGGGTTCAAGCGATTCTCCTTCCCCAGCCTCCTGAGTAGCTGGGATTAGAGGCATGTGCCACCATGCCCAGCTAATTTTGTGTTTTTAGTAGAGATGGGGTTTTTCCTTGTTGGTCAGGCTGGCCCTGAACTCCTGACCTCAGGTGATCCACCTGCCTCAGCCTCCCCAAGTGTTGGGATTACAGGCATGAGCCACTCTACCTGGCCATTTTTTTTTTTAAAGATTGCGTCTTGCTCTGTCACCCTCCTCACCACATTATAGCTCTGGGGGCCAAGCTGCATCACAATGGAAAATCATGGAATCACAGGAAGAATCCTCTCAGCTTTGCAAGATGCTGCCCAAGGGGTTGCTTGGAGTAACCAAATTAACATTTTTCATTCTGCCCAGAGCAAAATACATGTGACAAAACATAGACACGTGCCACTTTGCTCAGCACCCAGTATCAAACTGGTAAGACTCAAACTTGCTCCCAGATGGGCGGTGCCATCTCTAAATCTTTTTAGAAGCTTCTGCATATTAATAGGCATCCCTAGATGAGACTAATTTGGGAACCCTCATTTTTAAATGCACTTCAGGGCATTATTCATTTGGAATGTTCCACTGTAAGTTATCTTAATAAGATTTTGCCATTTCTGTAAGACTTTGCTGCTTCCCAGGCCTAATGTATTAGCCAGAAGGAGCTTAGTTTTCCAGAAATTAAGGATCCTATTTTTACCTAAAATATTGGCTTTACTCCCAGGTTCCCTTCATTAACTTAGCCAATGATTTTTTTTTCCTGCCTAACCGTGCGAGAAAAATGAAACAAAGGGGTAGAACACAAAAATCCCTGTGAATTTTCAAAAGCCAAATGTTACAATCTTCCAATATTATCATTTACTACCACTTTCCTTCTGACCCAGTCAGATGTAGGAGGCCTCTAACTGGAACTGGATTCAAGCCAATTAACTACTGGATCAAATCTGATCCTGGACCCGGTCCGTTTTCTGTCATAACTTCTAAAACATCCAGCCAGTCATGGCTGGATAGCAGTTTGGAACAGAAATTTGCTCAAAGAAACTCAGAGCTCAAAACACAAATCCATGGAGCTCTGAAATCCGAGAGAAAATTTACCATGATCCCCAGCTGCTCAGAGAGATCAAAGGACACAAGTGTTACAGAATCCTGAGGTGTCACTTTTCTGCCTGAAACCTCTGGCTGGTGGCACCTTTACCTGTGTTTTGCTCGGGCCCACTGGGTTAGTTCTGTCCACTCAGCTCATGCTAGTGGTCTGGATCCCACACCTGCCAAGGGCGAGCTGGGTACAGAGCAGTGAGGGGTGTGTGAGCAAGCGAGCATGGGATCTGCCACTGCACACAGCCAAGCATGCCAGCTGCAGTGGGGTGGGCAGCTCCAGGCACAGGTGCCAGCTCCCTGTGAGGCTGCAGCTGGACCAGGCCGACTGCAAACAGCTTCCACTGTGGGTATCAGGGAATGCAGTGGCACCCAGAAGCTTGGAGATGCAGGACCTGCAGAGCCCCAAAGAAGGTGTCACAGCCCTGGTTGGAGGAGCTCCTAGGTGTGTGTTCCCTGAAGGGACACAGCTCTTCTCTCCTTCTCTCTTCTCTTCTTCTTGCCTGCAATTTGGCAAGAAAGGAGCGCGTTTCAGCCCTGTTTATGTTACACCTCTTTCAGCCCTGCTAGTTGGCAGGTCCCGAGTTCTTGTCCTGAGTCCAGGAAAAATGAGGTATGTGGACAAGTAGAAGGTGAGCAAGGTGAAGAGGTGCTTTATTGAGCCACAGTACGGCTCAGAGGAGACCTGCAGTGGGTAGCTCCTTTCTGCAGGCAGGTCATCCCAACGTCTGTTCAGCTCTCAGCAGCTGAGAGGAGACGCACGGTGGGTAGCTGTGCCCATAGTGCCCAGGCGTTCGAGCTGAGGAGGGCCTTCCGGCCACTGCTGAGCCACTCTTAGCCCCACCTCAGCCTCCCTCCTGTGCTTGCCAGTGCCCAAATTCTGGAGGGGGCCGAGGTGGCAGGGGGCTGGCATGTCAGCACTGCCCTGAGCTTGCGCAAACCAGGCCAGGTTGTGACTGTGCCCAGGTTTGGCCTCAACTTGGATCTGAATTTGGAGTGGGCTCTGGAAGCAGAGAGACGCCAGGTGGCAGGACCAGGTACAACTGAGCCTGCGGGGCAGGGGGGCTTGCTGGGCCTCTGAGAGTGCAGAGATGCCCGGGTTTGCAGTCATGGCTGGATGGCTGCAGCTGTGCCTGGGAGGGTGGGGCTCCTGCCTGATAATTTAGAAGGGGCAGGTCTCCCACCCATTCCTGGCTCCCACCAGCTTTGAGGAGTGCACAGCCCCAGCCACTCCTCCCCACTGCAGCCAGTGTCTCCATAGCAACTGCTCCACGTGGGCCACTGCTGCCATCACAAATGGGTCCTTTCAGGTTCCTTCCTTGTACCTCAGCACTCTGGGGGTCATTAGAAGTCTTAGCAACACTGCTCACCACAGTATAGCTCCAGAGGCCCTAGCAGTCCTGCTCCCACGGATCCCACTTCTGACACCATCTATTAAAAGAAAATCTTCAGCTGAATTAAATTTAAAGGAGCTTAATTGAGCAATGAATGATTCACGAATCAGGCAGCCCCCAGAATCACAGCAGATTCAGTGAGACTCCAGCACAGACACATGGTGGAAGATTTATAGACAATAAAGGGAACATGATGTACAAAAATCTGAAGTGAGGAGTGAGGTCTAGAAGCAACTGGGTCCATTACAGTTCTCAGCAGTGAGGTCCAGAAACAACTGGACTGGTTACAGTGCTCAGCATTTGCCTTATTTGAACACAGCTGAACACTCAGCAGTGTGTGAGTGGCAGAAGTTTGGCTGTTGGGATTGGCCAGGACTCAGCTACTGTTTTAGGCACATACTCCTAAGTTACGTTTTCAGTCTTTCTACCTATTAAGTTAGGTTGCAGTTTGTCCACAGGGACTCAAATCTAGAAGTACAGAGTCCTTCCCAGGCCATATTTAGTTCACTGTAACAGTTCCTATTATGACCTCACTGACAGTTCTTTTTCTCTGAATTCTCCTTTCTTCTCAACAGCTTATCCAAATGTTCCATTGGTCCCTGTTCATCTTGCCCTGCAGTTCTCCTTGACTGATTCAGCCCTTTGTGGTTTGCAGTCCTGTTTCTCTACAGCTTGGACCTCTTCAGTCTTTCCATCATAGGTTTAACTCTCTGTTGAATGCTTCTTTGTAGCTATCCAAATTTACCTTAAGCTCAAAAAATTCGAAGTGAAAGCCACATCCTCTTCTCTTCCTTATGTGTATGGCATTACTACCATGCAGCCAGTGACCCAAAATGGGATTTCTTCTGGGCTTTTCTTGCTTAGATTCAGGCTCATCTGGTGTCAAGCCTTGTTGCTTTTGTTTCCTTGTTCTTTTATTTTTATTTTTTTTTTTTTGAGACAGAGTTTCGCTCTTGTTGCCCAGGCTAGAGCGCAGTGGTGTGATCTCAGCTCACTGCACCCTCCACCTCCTGGGTTCAAGCAATTCTCCTGCCTCAGCTCCTGAGTAGCTGGTATTACAGGCATGTGCCACCACGCCCGGCTAATTTTGTATTTTTAGTAGAGATGGGGTTTCTCTGTTTTGATCAGGGTGTCTCGAACTCCCGACCTCAGGTGATCCGCCCGCCTCGGCCTCCCAAAGTGCTGGGATTACAGGCGTGAGCCACCGTGCCTGGCCTGCTTGTTTTCATCTCATCCTGATTTCCAAATACAGGAGAGAAGCTGAATTGGTGTTCACTAACAAGCACAGAAGCTTTGTCATATTTACAGTGTCATTCTTGGCAAAACCTGAAGGGTGTGTTCATGGGGTGATGAGGTTCAGTCACCTGTGATCTGTGCATCTGGCCAGCACTGTGGTGACATCCTTAGGAATCCATGGGGAGAGAGAAAGCATTCAGGACTTAGTGGGTCACGTTTGACAAGGGCCAATAAAGAAATATGCAAAGACAAAAAACAAGAAGAACATTGTCATATTTTCTACCTTTTGTTTATATAAGTTTATATCAATGATTTTAGCTTATGTTAATATGCAATGTATATAATATGCTAACATTTACAATATATGTTTATAGTTTAAACATTTCTGTCATATTTTCAGATTCTTTAAAGATTATATTACACTTCCTATTTCAGATAGCTGCTTAAAATGAGTAAGGAAAAACGGATGTGTGCATCAGTTCCAACTGTTTATGGACTAAAACTAGTTGATTTCTTGGTTAAAAACAAAAAGTGACAACCTAATTAACTGAAAATTTTAAGTGGGCAATTATAGTTTTAGCTTTCACGTAAAATATTAACTATTCTCCAATCTTGCATTTTTAACCTAATACTCAATATAAATCGCCACATGCCATGTTTCAGATCAAGGTTTTACTTGGGATCTCTCATGAGTTTTTCAAGGTTTTAATTATCTGCAATGTAACAATGTACCAGTAACCTTACTGGCTTAAACCAGGAATTTATTCTTTTCACATGTCACAATTTTCTGGGTCAAGACACTGGACAGGGCAATGTGGGTTGGCTGCTTCATGATGTCCCTGGTCTCATCTGGAAGGACTCTAGTGGCTGGGGACGTGAAGCAGACACCAGAAGGACTCTAGTGGCTGGGGACATGGAGCAGGCACCAAGCCCTCTCTTTGTGGCCAGCACGGACTTCCTCCCAGTCTGGCAGTGTCAGGTAGTCAGGTTTGTCTGGCTTCTCCCAGTGTATGTGTCCAAGAGGCCCAGGCAGAAGCTGTAAGGTCTCTCATGATCATCCCTCAGAAGTCCCAGAGCATCTCTCCTGCCACACTGTCCAGTCGTACTCATCACTGAGACCAGCCATGATTCAAGGGGGGAAGGTGATTAGATTCCACCTCTTGATGAGAAGCATAGTAGGAACCTGCAGCAGTCTTTAATAAACCACAGTTTGTCCTCTGGCCACAAACTACTAACGTTTCTCCCACATGCAAATTATGCTTTGCCCCTCTCAAGAGTCCCAGAATGGTTTTCCTTATGGCACTGGCTGGTAGCCCAACTGAATCCTGAATCAGGTTGTGGTGGCCTGTCACCTGCACCCACACACACTCAGCCGCAGTGAGTACTGAATCAAGTTGTGGTGGCCTGTCATCTGCCCCCCCACACACAGCCACAGTGAGGACTGAATCAGGTTGTGGTGGCCTGTCGTCTGCCCCTGACGCACTCAGCCACAGTGAGGACTGAATCAGGTTGTTGTGACCTATCATCTGTGCCCACACACTCAGCCGCAGTGAGGGGACTGGTGTGAAAACAGTCGGCATTTCCCTTTAGAAGCTGTTGGTGGGAGGCAGGAGGGAGGTGCTGCCCTGCAGGCCCCGTCTAACAGTTGGTCATTCCCATGGGGCGCCTGTTACAGTTCTGTGATTAGTGCCCAGTCCAGGTCCCTGAGAACGGCGCCCAGTCCTTGTCCCTGAGAACGGCGTTTGTGTCCTTTTACTCCTCCCTCTGGGCTTTTGTCATTCTCCATGTTCTTTTTCCTTCAGTGCCTGGGTTGCCGTTGACCAACTTTCTCTGCCTTTTTCTTATGGTCAATAGGGTATTCAATGGCTTCTTTATAATTTTTTTTTCTTTTCTTTTTTTTTTTCTTTGGCCTTTTGAGACAAGAAATTATTTCTTTATATTTTCTCTAAATTTTGTTGGAAAACTGAACTTCCTTCTTTAGATCATGTCCCTCTCCTGTCATGTTTATTCAGTGACAGTTAGGGGAGGCTGATAGCACTTTCCATGTTCTTCCCAGATGTCTCCTTAGGCAGATCCCTGAGATGGTGCAGTGCCCTTTCAGTTTCCATGTTGTGGCCATAGTTTTCTCACAGTCCCTCAGCACATAACTCTCAGGCCTTTTCCCCAGTTTCCAATGACATTTTCTCACCGTCTTTCAGGCCCTGACCAAGAGTCTTGATGCCCTTCCAGGTTGCATGAATGGTCTCCTTGAGGCCCAGTTACAGGTCAGCCTCACAGTCGTGGCACATATTGTAGCTTCTGATTACCACAGCGGCTCATTTCCAGCTACAATATTCTGTTCCAGTTATCTATTCTGAAGAAACCATCCCCAAAACTTGGCAGCTTAAAACAACTCATTATTACTTGTTTTTTGGCTTAGAGAGTCTTGGTGACCAGCTCATCTCACACACAGTTGCAGCCAAGCTGGATTGTGTGAAAGCACAGCGGGGTGGTGTGCAGGGTGGCTCACTAGTGGTTGGGAGTGGATGTTGCTGAAGGCTCACTAGTGGTTGGGAGTCGGTGTTGCTAGAGGGTCAATGGGGGATGTCAATGCATGTAGCTAGTCATGGACTGGCCGTGTGGTTTCCATCATGGGGTCTCAGGGGAGTGGGATTTCCTGCCTGGTGACTGGCTTTCTCCTGGATAAGTGTTCTGTTTTCTCAGCCTGGCTTCTGAAGTCCCCAAATACCACCTTTGTCACCTTCTGTTGGCCAAGCAAGTCAGTAGTCTGGGCAAGGTTTAAGGGGAATTGGTTCTCACAGAGAGAGGAGCAGGAAAGAAGTTGTCACCTTTAGTCTACCAGAAATATGATTTTTATAACAAGTTTGTTCCAAATACATTCCAGTTCCCCTTGTGAATACTTTTTTGACTTACAGGGTATTTCAAAGTTTATTACTTGGTTTTCAGACATTTGAGGCTTTTCTGGATATCAATTTGTTGTTGGTTTCTAATTTAATTTCAGGTGTTCAGACAACATACTTTGTATACTATTTCATGCTTGAACATTTTCTCAATTGATCGACAGTCTATCTTGGTACTGCCAAGTACCATTTGGGTCAGGATTTTGTCATTTAGATCCGTATTTTTCCTATATTTTTATCTGGTTGTTCCATCAGTTACTGAGAGAGCAGTATTAATTCACCAGTTATAATTTTGGATTGTCAATTTCCTGCTTTTGTTCTGTTGTTTTTGATTCACATAATTTGAGGCTCTGTGTGTGTGTGTACTTTGTTTGCACTTTGAGGCACAATTTATAATTGTAACATCATCCTCTCTGATTCTTTTATTTTTATGAAATTACCTTGTTTATTTCTGGTGATATATTTTTTTCTGGAGCCTCTTTCATCTAGTGTTAACATCTCCATTGAAGCTTTTTATGATTAGTGTCTGGATAGCATATTTTTATGATTAGTGTCTGCATAGCATATTTTTTCTCATACTTTGTGTCTTTGTATTTAAATTGTGTCTCTGTGGATGCCATATTGTTGGGTCTTGCTTTCCTCTCAGGTCTGGCAGTCTCTGTCTTAAGTAGAGTATTTGTCCAGTTACATTGTAACTAATCATTGCTAAGGTTGGATTTAGGTCTGCCATTTTTCTACTTATTTTCTATTTGTTTGTTTTTTTTTTAAGACAGGGTCTTGCTCTGTCACCCAGACTGTAGTGCAATGGTGCAATGTTGGCTTACTTCAACCTCTGCTTCCCAGGCCCAACCAATCCTCACTGGAGCCCACTGAGTAGCTGGGACTACAGGCGCATGGAAACACACCTGGCTAATTTTTATATTTTTTGTAGAGATAGGGTTTTGCCATGTTGCACAGGCTGGTCTTGAACTCCTGAGCTCAAGCAATCTACCCACCTTGGCCTCCCAAAGTGTTCGGATTACAGGCATGAGCAACCATGTCTGGCCTTCGTCTGTGTTTTGATCTTCTATATATTCTTTCCTAACTTCTTTTGGGTTAAATATTTCTAAATATTCCAGTTTGATTAATATTTTGGCTTTTTGAAATATTTTTTTATAGGCTGGGCATGGTGGCTTATGCTCATAATCTCAGCTCTGTGGGAGGCCAAGGGAGGTGGATTGCTTGAGCCCAGGAGGTTGAGACCAGCCTGGGCATCATGGCAAAACCCTCTCTACAAAAAAACCAAACCAAAATTTAGCCTGACATCTTGGTGTGCACCTGTAGTCCCAACTATTTGGGAGGCTGAGGTGGGAGTGTTGCTTGAGCCTGGGAGGTTGAGGCTGCAATGAGCTGTGATCATGCCATTGCACTCCTGCCAGGGCAACAGAGTAAGACCTTGTGTCAAAAAAGATCATTTTTTATAAATAATTTATTATTTAGAATTTTGGTAACAAACACATACCTTAAAATTTACCGTCGTAACTAGTTGTAAGTATACAGTTTTGTAGAGTTAAGAATATTTACGGTGTTGTGTAGCAGATTTCTAGATTTTTTTTTTATCTTGGAAATCTCTATACCCATTCAACAACTATTAATTTCCCCCTCCTTCCACCTCCTGGCAAGTACTATTCTACTTTGTGTTTCTAAAAATTTGGCTTATATACCTAGGGTTATATAATATTTGTTGTTTTGTAAGTAGGTTCCATGTTATGTGTCAGATGTGTCACGATTTTCTTCCTTTTTATGGCTGAATAATATTTCTTCATATATATATTATATATATATTACATATATATTATATACATACATTATATATATTATATATATTATATATTATATATATATATAATATATATCATATATATATATGCTTTTGTTTATCCACCTATTCCTGGACGGACGTTTTTGTTTCTTCCACCTTGTGGCTGTGTAATGCTGCTGTGAACTTAGGTGTGCACATATCTGTTTGAGGTCCTGCTACTAGTTATTCTGTCTCTGTAGTAGTTGGATGGCTGGATCATATGGTCATTTTATTTTATTTTTTTTTGAGGAGCCAGTTCATATTTCCACCAACAGTGTTCAAGGGTTTCAGTTTCACCTGCGCTTGTTACTTTCTATTGGGTTTGAAGTGATGTCCCATTGTGGTTTCTTTTTGCATTTCTCTAATGACTAGTGATGTTACACATCTTCTCATATATCTCATGTATCTGTTGGCTATTTGTATATCATCTTTGCATCTTTGGATAAATGTTGTTTGTCCATTTTTTAATCACTTTATTTTGTTGTTGGGTTGTAGCGGGGTTTTTTGTCATGATCATTCATTTATCTCACAGTTCATTCTCATTACTTGGGCCAGGGTCATGATCATTCATTATCTCTCAGTTCATCCTCATTACGTTGGGCAAACAGTCATGCTGCAGGGTATAGATTATGTTATTCTGTTACTTTCAGGTAGAATTGGGGTCTAGGTTCTAATTGTTTCTAAGTTTAGATTCTGAATGAGAATCAGCAGAGGTAGACTACCGCTGCTGGGGCCTGGGGATTGCTGGGAAAAAGGCAGGAAACAAATACAGACCTGACCATGGAGGGTTTGTGTTTCATGGCTCCCATCTGGGTACCCAAGGAACCTACATGTAGGTCGTGTGTGGAGAGCCTACATTGCCCACTCAAAGCAATTGAGGATGGAACAGTCTTGGGGCTGGAGCTCATTATTTGGAATGATAACCACATCTGCACAGAGAGGACCTGATAAGATGTTGTCCTTCCATGTATATCTGGGAATCCTGTGTAGGGTCTCTCTGTAAGGACAGGGGCAGTGTCGGCTCCTTGGACTCTAGTTAGCCTCACGAGTAGTCTAGTAAAGGCTTTGCCAACTTGTCACCATCTGTGGACATTCTGGCCAACTCTTGTTTTCACCCTACTGACTTCTTCAGACACTAGGCTTTTGCTTTAGACCATTCATGATTTTTCTTCCTCTTCAAATCAGTAATCAATAAATCCTCTTCAAATCAATAAATTTCCACTCCTTTAGGAAACTCTGATCTTCTGGTCATGCCAAGGTTTAATTAACTGGTTTAATTGTTTTTCTGTTTTCTTCGTTTCTTTTTCCTTCTTCCTTGGGGTTTCTAGTAATTTTAGTTTGATGTCTCACTTTCTCCATTTTTTTATTTCTTAGTTTTCTTCTGTGATTATTTTCACTGCAGCTGTAGGGCCTAATCCTGGGTTGGCAGAGAACTAGCACTTACTCTGCCCTAATTGGAATCCGGGAGAGATAGGAGGTGCCCTAGTGTGAAAATGTGTCTGCTCCTCTCTGCTTCTGGTAGTCTCTCCGTAGGAGTACTTTACGTATTCTGAATGTTCACTTCTTATGAGATACATGATGTGCAACTATAGGTTGAATGTCTCTGATCCAAACATCTGAAATCCCAAATGCTCCAAAGTCTGAAACTTTTTGAGTGCCAACATGACACTCAAAGGAAATGCTTATTGGAGCATCGCAGACTCAGGTGTTTGAATTCGAGATGCTCAACCAGTAAGAATAATGCAAATATTACAAAATCTGAAACACATCCCAAGCATTTCAAATAAGGGACACTCAACTGGTATTTTCTTTTATTCTACAGTTTGCCTTTTACCCTGTTGGTTGTGACCTTTGTGGTACAGAAGTTTTTAGGTTTGATATATTTTTGCTTTTACTGCCTGAGCTTTTAATGTCATATCCTAAAAATTATTGACAAATTCATCATCATAAAGCATTTTCCAAATTTGTTTTCCCTAGGAGTTTGATAGTTCTAGTTTTACATTTAGGTTTATAATTCACTTTGAATTAATTTTAACGTGGTGTAAGGTAAGAGTCCAACTTCATTGTTTTGCATGTAGATATACAATTTTCCCAACACCATTTGTTGAAGAAACTGTCCTTCGCCATTGAGTGGTCTTGGCATCCTTGTGGAAGATCATCAGACCATATATGCCAGGGTTGGTTTCTGAGGTCTCTGTTGTGTTGGTCCATAAGTGTGTCAAGTATGTCTTTACGCCATGACCACATTTTTTTTTGGCTTATTGCAGTTTTGTAATTGTTTTGAGACCTTTAATTTTGTTCTGCTTCAAGATTGATTTGCCTATTCATGGGCCCTGGAGATTCCATATGAATTTTAGGATAGGATTTTCTGTTTATCAAAAATGTCATTGGAATCTTTATAAGGATTGTATTGAATCTAGGTCACTTCGAGTAGTGTTGACATCATTCCAAGATGAAATCATCTAATCTGCAAACCCAGCTTTTCTTTTCATTTATTTGTGTTTAATTTCTTTCAACAGTGTTTTGTAGTTTTCTGTGTTCAAATCTTTTGCCCTTTTGGTTAAGCTTATTTTTAATTTTTATAATGCTGTTGTAAATGTAATACTTTTTTTTTTTTTTTTTGAGATGGAGTCTTGCTCTGTCTCCCAGGCTGGAGTGCAGTGGCACTATCTCAGCTCACTGCAACCGGCGCCTTCTTTATTCAAGCGATTCTCCAACCTCAGCCTCTCAAGTACCTGGGATCACAGGTGCGCGCCAGCACGCCCAGTTAATTTTTTGGTATTTTTAGTAGAGACAGGGTTTCTCCATGTTGACCAGGCAAGTCTTGAACTTGTGACCTCAGGTGATCTGCCTGCCTCGGCCTCCTAAACTGCTGGGATTGCAGGCATGAGCCACTGCACCCAGCCAAATGTCATTCTTTTTAAAAATTTCTTTTCTGTTGTTTTATCTTTCTTTTCTTTTCTTTCTCTCTCTTTCTTTCCTTTCTTTCTTTTCTTTGAGATGGCGTCTCACTCAGTTTCCTAAGCTGGAGCGCAGTGGCACAATCTCAGCTGACTGCAACTTCCACCTTCCAAGTTCAAGCAATTCTCCTGCCTCAGCCTCCCAAGTAGCTGGGACTACAGTTGTCTGCCACTACGCCCAGCGAATTTTTGTATTTTTAATAGAGACAGAGTTTTACTATTTATTTTAGAGATGGGTTTGGCCCAGCTGGTCACGAACTCCTGACCTCAGGTGGTCTACCCGCCTTGGCCTCCCAAAGTGCTGGGATTATAAGTGTGAGCCACTGCACCTGGCCTCTCTTTTTAAAATTTTATTTGCAGATTGTTCATTGTTAGTTTATGGAAATGCAACTGACTTGTGTGTGTTACTGTATCCTGAAACTTTGTTGAATTTCATTATTTTACCAGTATTTTGGGAATTTCAGGATTTTTACCCATTACATCCTGTTGTCTGTGAACAAAATTTTGTACTTTTTCCTTTCCAATTTGCATCCTTTTTATTACTTTCTCTTGACTAATTATTCTGAGTAGAAATTCCAGTACTGTGATGAATAGAAGTGGCAGGAAGAGATGTTGCTATCTTATTCCTGATCCTAGAGGAAAAGATTTTAGTCTTTCACCATTGAGTATGATGTTAGCTGTGAGCTTTTCATGTATAATCTTTATTTACCGAGGAGTTTCCATATATTACTAATTCTTTGAGTGTTTTTATTACAAAAGGTGTTCATCTGGCTCTGGAACCAGATAAACGTTGACCTGATAAATGGATTGGAATGTCCCCTTCTGGTTTTTGAACATTTTTGGAATATTTTGCAGAGGATTGGCATTAATTCTTCTTGAAATATTTGGTAAAATTTTCCAGTGAAGTTATCTGGACCTGGAATTTTCTTTTTGGTGGGGTTTTTGATTACTGGTTGAATCTTCTTACTAGTTACAGGTCTCTTTGGATTTTTTATTTCTCCATGATGCAGTATGGTGGTTTGTGTTTCTAGGAATTTATAAATTTATTCTAGGTTGCCCAGTTTTGTGGCATATGGTTGCTCACATTAGTCTCTTGTAATCTTTTTCATTTCTGTGGAATCTGTTGTACTGTCACCTCTTTTATTTATGATTTTAGTATTTGAGATTTCTCTTTTTTCTTAATATAGCTGTGAGTTTTAAAATTTTTATTGATCTTTAAAAAAACAAACTCTGTTTTTTTCCTTTTTTCTGGTCTTATTCTGCTTATCTCTGCTCTAATCTGTTATTTTCTTCCTTTTGCTTGGTTTGTCATTAGTTTTTTTTTCCCCCCTTCAGGTGTAATGTTAGGTTATTGATTTGAGATCTTTCTTCTTTTTAATTTAAGCACCTGCAGCTATAAGCTTCCCTTTAGCAAGGGTTTCAGATCTTTCTTCTTTTTAATTTAAGCATCTGCAGCTGTAAGCTTCCCTTTAGCATGGGTTTGAGATCTTTCTTCTTTTTAATTTAAGGATCTGTAGCTGTAAGCTTCCCTTTAGCATGGGTTTGAGATCTTCTTTTTAATTTAAGCATCTGGAGCTGTAAGCTTCCCTTTAGCACTGCCTTTGTTGCCTCCTCCTGAGTTTGGGTATGTCATGGTTTCGTTTTCATTTGCTTAAACATTTTTTGTCCTATTGTAATATAATTGTGTTGTTTTTAATAAAGGTAATTAATGAAACACATAATGAATTGTGCTTCTGTTTTTATAACATTTTAAGCATTCTTAACTCAGAAATGTAAATTTTAGAAAAAAATTCCAGGCCAGGCACAGTGGCTCACACCTGTAATCCCAGCACTTGAGGAGGCCGAGGCGGGAGGATCATCTGAGGTCAGGAGTTGGAGACCACCCTGGCCAACATGGTGAAACCCTGTCTTTACTAAAAATAGAAAAAATATATATATAAAAGTTAGCTGGGTGTCATGGCGGGTGCCTGTAATCCCAGCTACTCTGGAGGCTGAGGCAGGAGAATCACTTGAATCTGGGAGGCGGAGGTTGCAGTGAGCTGAGATTGCACCACTGCACTCCAGCCTGGGTGACAGAATGAGAGTCTGTCTCAAAAAAAAAGAAAAAAGTAAAAATTTCAGACATATTTATTTGTATTTCAATTTAGAAACTATGATCTCCTAAGTGTATTGACACAGCAACCTGACATAAATATAAAGAATAATAAGCATATAACAAAACGGAAACTTGCAAATACCTGTTTTTTATTAAATTTTAATTATATATATTTAAAAATTGCCAGGTGCAGTGGCTTACACCTGTAATCCCAGCACTTTGGGAGGCTGAGGTGGGCAGATCACATGAGGTCAGGAGTTTGAGACCAGCCTGGCCAACATGGTGAAACCTCATCTCTATTAAAAATCAAAAAATTAGCCAGGCGTGATAGCATGCATCTGTAGTCCCAGCTACTCGGGAGACTGAGGCAGGAGAATTGCTTGAACATAGGAGGCAGAGGTTGCAGTGAGCCAAGATAGTGCCACTGCACTTCAGCCTGGGTGACAGAGTGAGGCTCTGTCTCAAAAAAAATAAAAATTGTCTGGGCGCGGTGGCTCACACCTGTAATCGCAGCACTTTGGGAAGCTGAGGCAGGCAGATCACGTCAGGAGATCGAGACCATCCGGGCTAACACTGTGAAACGCCATCTCTACTAAAAATACAAAAAATTAGCCGGGCGTGGTGGCGGGTGCCTGTAGTTCCAGCTACTCCGGAGGTTGAGGCAGGAGAATGGTGTGAACCTGGGAGGTGGAGCTTGCAGTGAGCCAAGATTGCACCACTGGACTCCAGCCTGGGTGACAGAGTGAGACTCTGTCCCAAAAAAATAAAACAAAATAAAACTAAGGTGTGGTTGACATACAAAAATTACACATATTTAATATATACCTTGTGTGTGTGTGTGTGTGTGTGTGTGTGTGTGTGTTATGGAGGTTTTACTCTTGTTGCCCAGTCTGGAGTGCAGTGACATGATCTCAGCTAACTGCAACCTCTGCATCCCAGGTTCAAGCAATTCTCCTGCCTCAGCCTCCTGAGTAGCTGGGATCACAGGCGTGCACCCCCACGCCCGGCTAATTTTTGTATTTTTTTAGTAGAGACAGGGTTTCACCATGTTGGCCAGGCTGGTCTCGAACGCCTGACCTCAGATCATCCACCTGCCTCGGCCTCCCAAAGTGCTGGGATTACAGGCATGTGACACCGAATATATACATCTTAATGAGTATAGAGATAAATATTCGCCCCAGGACTCATCACAACAAATAATACCGTAAACTTGACCATCACCCCCCATATATTTCTCATTCTCACCCTTTTTAAAAAATGAGACCGGGAGTGGTGGCTCACGCCTGTAATCCTAGCAATTTGGGAGGCCAAGGCAGGTGGATCACGAGGTCAGGAGATCAAGACCATCCTGGCTAACACAGTGAAACCCCGTTTCTACTAAAAATACAGAAAATTAGCCAGGTGTGATGGCGGACACCTGTAGTCCCAGCTACTCGGGAGACTGAGGCAGGATAATGGTGTGAACTCGGGAGGCAGAGCTTGCAGTGAGCCGAGATCGTGCCACTGCACTCCAGCCTGGGCAACAGAGTGTGACTCCGTCTCAAAAAAAAAATGAGATGACCATTTCACCTAAAATATACCCTCTTAAGTATTTTTTTAAGTGTACAATACAGGACGGCCGTGCATCAGAGATATATGTGGGTTTGGTTCCAGACCACTGCAATAAAGTGTTATACAATTTCTTTTTGTTTCCCAGTGCATGTAAAAGTATGTTTATACTGTGCTGTATAAAGTGTGCAATAGCATATGTCTACAAAGTATGCACACTTTAATTTACAAATACTTTATTGTTAACAAGTGCTAACAGTCATCTGAGCCTTCAGAAAGCTGCAATCTTTTTTTGTGTGTGTGACAGGGTTTTACTCTGTGGCTCAGGCTGGAGTAATTGCAGCCTCAACCTCATGCTCAATCAAACCCCCACCTCAGACTCCTGACTAGCTGGGACTACAGGTACATGCCACCATGTCCAGCTAATTTTTGTATTTTTTTTTTTGTTGTAGAGATGGGGTTTTGCCACGTTGCCTTGACGTCCTGGGCTCAAGCAATCCACCCACCTTGGCCTCCCAAGGTGTTGGGATGACAGGTGTGAGCCACTGCACCTGGCCAAGTTTCAGTCTTCTTGCTGATGGAGGGTCTTATGTTAATGTAAGGTGGTGGTTGCTGAGCGTTGGGGTGGCTGTGGCAATTTCTTAAAATAAGACAACGTTGAAGTTTGCTGTGTCAATTGACTCTCCCTTTCACAAAAGAATTAACTGTAGCATACGATGATAGCTTTTTACCCACAGTAGAACTTTCAAAATTGGATGCAATGCTGTCAAACCTTCGTACGGCTGTACCAACTAAGTTTATGTATTATTGTAAATCATTGGGTTCAATCCTGTCAAGCCTTCCTTCTGCTGTACCAAGTTTATTGTAAATCTGTTGTCATCTCAACATTGTTTACACTGTCTTCACCACGAGTAGATTTCATCTCAAGAAACCACTCTCTTTGCTCATCCGTGGGAGCAACTCATCCTCTCACTTTTTCTCCAGAGGCTGCTGCAGTCTCGCCAGATCTTCAGGCTCTTTCTCTGATTCTAGTGCTCTTGTTATTTCCACCATATCTGCAGTTACTTCCTCCACAGAAGTCGTGAACCCCTGTGTCATCTGTGAGGTTTGGAATAATCTTCCCAACTTCTCTCTCTTTTTTTTTTTTTTTTTGAGATGAAGTCTTGCCTGGGCTGGAGTGCAGTGATGCGATCTCAGCTCACTGCAACCTCCACTTCCCCTGTTCAAGCAATTCTCCTGCCTCAGCCTCCCAAGTGTTTGGGATTACAGTCACCCCCGACCAGGCCCAGCTAATTTTTTTTGTGTTTTTAGCACAGACAGGATTTCACTATGTTGGCCAGGCTGGTCTCAAATTCCTGACCTCGTGATCCACGTGCCTTGGCCTCCCAAAGTGCTGGGATTACAGGCGTGAGCCACCAAGCCCGGCCCCAACTTCTCCTAATGTTGCTATTTTGATCTTTTTTAAATCATGAATGTTCTCAATGACATCTAGAATGGTGAATCCTTTCCAGTAGGTTTTCAATTATTTTGCCCAGATCCATCAAAGGAATCACTTTCTAAAGAAGCTATAGCTTTATGAATATATTTTTAAGTGATAAGACTTGAAAGTTGAAATTATTCTTTGATCCAAGGGCACCAGAATGAATGTTGGGTTAGTAGGCATGAAAACAATATTCAGGTCTTTATACATCTCTGTAAAAGCCCTTGAGTACCAGCGGCATTGTCATTGAGCGGTAATACTTTGAAAGGAATCTTATTTCTTGAGCAGTAGTTGTCGACAGTGGGCTTAAGATATTCAGTAAACCGTATTTGTAAACCGATAGTCTGTCATCCAGGCTTTGTTCCCATTTGTAGAGTACAGGCAGAGCTGTGTTTTATCATAATTCTTCAGGGCCCTTGGATTTTCAGAATAGTAAATCATCATTGGTTTCAAGTTAACATCACCAATTGCATTAGGCCTTAACAAAAGAGTCAGCATGTCCTTTGAAGCCTTAAAGCCAGGCATCAACTCCTCTCTAGCTGGGAACATCCTGGATGGCATCTCCTTCTAGTAGAAGTCTGTTTTGTCTCCATTGCAAATCTGTTTAGTGTAGCCATCTTAATCAATTATCTTCTAGATAGCTTTCTGCAGTTTTTCCATCAGTACTTGCTGCTTTATCTTGCGCTTTTATGTTATGGAGATGACTTTTTTCCTTAAACCTCAAGAAACAAGCTCTTCTAGCTTCAGACTTTTCTTCTGCAGCTGCCTCACCTCTCTAAGTCTTCATAGAATTGAAGGGAGACCGGGTGCGGTGGCTGTCACACCTGTAATCCTAGCACTTTGGGAGGCAGAGGCGGGCAGATCACCTGAGGTCGGGAGTTCGACACCAGTCTGACCAACGTGGAGAAACCCCGTCTCTACTAAAAATACAAAAAATTAGCCAGGCGTGGTGGTGCATGCCTGTAATCCCAGCTACTCGGGATGCTGAGGCAGGAGAATGGCTTGAACTTGGGAGGCAGAGGTTGTGATGAGCCAAGATCACGCCATTGTACTCCAGCTTGGGCAAGAAGAATGAAACTCTGTCTCAAAAACAAAGAAAAAAAGTAAAAAGAGAGTTAGGCTTAGGCTTAATGGAATTTTTTTTGTTTTTTTTTATCTTCTATCTAGACCAATTAAACTTTCTTCATAAGAGCAGCAAGATTGTTTAGCTTTTTATCATTCATGTATTCACTAGAGTAGTACTTTAAATTTCTTTCCAGAACACTTCCTTTGCATTCACAACTTGGCTAAGTGTTTGTTGCATGAGGTCTAGCTACTGGCCTGTCTTGCTTACAGCATGCCTTCATCACTAAGCTTAATTATTTCTTCCTTTTGGTTTAAAGTGACAGACATGCAACTCTTCTTTCACTTGAACATATAGAGGCTATTTTAGGGTTATTAATTGGCCACATTTTAATATTAATAAAAAGAAGCCTGAGAAAAAGAGAGAGAAAGAGAAATGGCCCATTGGTGGGGCAGTCAGAACAAATGCATTTGTCAATTGTTTGCTGTCTTATCCTGGTGTGATTTGTGGTTCCCAAAACAATGACAACAGTAGCATTAAAGATCACTGATTACAGATCACTATAACCGATTCAATAATAAAAAGCTTAAAATACTGTGAGAATGACCGAAATGTGACACGGAGACGTGAAGTGAGCACGTGCTGTAGGAACAATGGTGCCAGTGAGACCTGCTTATTGCAGGGTGGCCACAAACCTTCAATATGTAAAACACATGGTCACAAAACACAATAAAGCAAAGTGCAGTGAAACAAGATGTGTCTGTCTTTTGATAGACTCTGACAATCTTTATCTTTGAATTGGTACATTCATACCATTAACATTCAAAGTGATTATTGATATCATTGGATTAATATCTACTATATTTGTTACTGTTTTCTATTCATTCTCCTCAGTCTCCATTCTTTTGTCTACCACTCTTTTTCTGCCTTTTGCAGTTTTCATTGATGATTTTAGATGACTACATTTTCCCTGTCTTTCTTAGCATGTACTTCTCTTTTTAAAACTTTTTTTTTAACTAGTTGCCACAGAATTTGCAATATACATTTACAACCAATTCAAGTCCACTTTCAAATAACACTATCCCACTATCCCACAAATAAGACTACCTGCTTAACAAACAAAACACCTAATTCCTCAGTAACATTTACAACAAATTGAAGTCCACTTTCAAATAACGCTATCCCACTATCCCACAAATAAGACTACCTGCTTAACAAAGAACACACCTAATTCCTCAATATACATTTACAACCAATTCAAGTCCACTTTCAGATAACACTATCCCACTTCACGGGTGACTACCTGCTTAACAAAGAAAACACCTGATTCCTCTCTCCCATCCTTCCATTCCATTCCTTGTATTATTGTTCCTTATTTCACTTGTGTATAAGCATACATAATCTATCTGTGTGTATTTATTATTATCTACAAACTTATTGGTCAGATCAATTATGAATAAATACATGTTTTTATTGTACCACAATTCCTCCCTCCCATCCTTCCATTCCATTCCTTGTATTAGTGTTACTCATTTAACTTGTGTATAAGCATACATAATCTATCTGTGTGTATTTGTTATTGTCTATGAACTTCTTGGTCAGATCAATTAAGAATAAATACATAGGTTTTTATTGTACCACAATTCTTTAATGCTCTTTTTTAAAAAATGTTGATCCAGGTTTCAGTTATATATCTTTTGTTTCCCTCTAAAGAATTTCATTTAACATTTCTTGCAAGACAGGTCTCCTGGCAATAAGTTTCTTGAATTTTTATTTTTCTGAGGAAGGCCTTAATTCTCCTTCACTTTTGAAGGGTGTTTTCAGTGGGTACAGAAACTTAGGTTGGTGGGTTTTTTCTGTCAACATTTTGAATTTTTCATTTCACTGTCTTCTTGCTTTCACAGTTTCTGCATTGTTGAATGCAGTTCTTATCTTTGTGTCTCCGTAGGTAAGGTGTTTTCTGCCCCACCTCTGGTTTCTTTTTTTTTTTTTTTTTTTTTTTTTTTGAGACGGAGTCTCGCTCTGTCGCCCAGGCCGGACTGCGGACTGCAGTGGCGCAATCTCGGCTCACTGCAAGCTCCACTTCCTGGGTTCACGCCATTCTCCTGCCTCAGCCTCCCGAGTAGCTGGGACTACAGGCGCCCGCCACCGCGCCCGGCTAATTTTTTGTATTTTTAGTAGAGACGGGGTTTCACCTTGTTAGCCAGGATGGTCTCGATCTCCTGACCTCATGATCCACCCGCCTCGGCCTCCCAAAGTGCTGGGATCACCTCTGGTTTCTTTCAGAGTTTTCCTTTATCTTTTATTTCATATAGTTTGAAAATTATATGTCCAAGTGTAGGTTGTTGGCATTTATTCTGCCTGGTGTTCTCTGAGCTTCCTGGATCTTTGGTTTGGTGTCTGACATTAATACTGGAAGTTCTCAGACATGGTTGTTGCAGAACTTTCTTCTATTTCTTCTCCTCCTGGTATTCTCATTACTCTGTTTCACCTTTTGTAGTTGTCCCACAGTCTTGGATATCATCTTCTGTTCTTTTCAGTGTTTCTTTTCTTTAGTTTTCAAAGTTTCTGATGATAAATCCTCAAGCTCAGAGATTCTTTACTCAGCTGAGTCCAGTCTACTAATAAGCCATCAGAGGTATTCTTCAGTTATTTACCACATTTTTTACCACTACATTATGTTGAAGTTTCTTGCGATGTCTGTCTTTCTGATTACATTACCCATCTACACTTGAATGCTGTCTACTTCATTCATTAGGCCCTTAGCATATTCTCCAGAGGTTTAAAAAAAATTCCAAAATCATATCTTTGTCTGCTTCTGAAGCTTGCTCTGTTGACACAAATTGTATTTTTTTCTTTTTTTGGATTTTAGTATGCCTTGCAATTTTTTCCCTTTATTCTCATGCATGAAGCACCCACTAAAGGTGACTGCTGTTAGTATAGCTTTAGTAATGCGGTGATGAGGTGACAGGGCAGGTGATGCTCTCTTAGTCTCTTTAGGCTACTATAACAAAATACTTTAGACTGAGTAATTCATAAACAACAGAGATTATTGCTCACAGATCTGGAGGCTGGAAAGTCCAAGACTAAAGGGGCAGGATATTTAGTGTTTGGTGAAGGTCAAGCATTCAGACACTCGCAACGACTATAGTGACAGCAGCAGTCTTCAGGAATCCTATGTGAGGAAAAAACATTCAGACCACAGAAGGAGTGCTCGAGAATCCTATGTGAGGGACAAACATTCAGATCACAGCAGGAGTGTTGTGGAATCCTATGTGAGGGGAAAACTTTCAAACCCTTGTAGCAGTGTTCTGCAATCCTATGTGAGGGGCAAAAATTCAGAACCTCGTAGCAGTGTTCTGGAATCCTATTTGAGGAACAATCAGACCACAGCAGGAATGTTCTGGAATCCTATGTGAGGGGCAAACATTCAGACCACAGCAGGAGTGTTCTGGAATCCTATGTGAGGGACAAACATTCAGACCACAGCAGGAGTGCTCTGTAATCCTATGTGAGGGACAAACATTTCAAAACCTTGTAGCAGTGTGCTGGAATGTTATGTCAGGGACAGACATTTAGACCCTCACAGCAGTGTTCTAGAATCCCATCTGCGGGACAAACATTCAGACACTCGCAGCAGTGTTCTGGAATTCTATGTGAGGGACAGACATTCAAACCCCAACAGCAGTGTTCTAGAATCCTATCTGAGGGACAGACGTTCAGACCCCAGCAGCAGTGTTCTGGAATCCTATGTGAGGTACAAACATTCAGACACCAGCAGAAGTGTTCTGGAATCCTATGTGAGGGAGAAACATTCAGACCCTCGTAGCACTGTTCTGGAATCCTATGTGAGGTACAAACATTCAGACCACGGCAACAATGCTCAGGAATCCTATGTGAGGGAGAAACATTCAGACCCTCGTAGCACTGTTCTGGAATCCTATGTGAGGTACAAACATTCAGACCACGGCAACAATGCTCAGGAATCCTATGTGAGGGACAAACATTCAGACCCTCGTAGCAGTGTTCTGGAATCTTATGTGAGGGACAAACATTCAAACCACAGCAGCAGTGTTCTGGAATCCTACGTGAAGGACAAACTTTCAGACCACAGCAGGAGAGTTCTGGAATCCTATGTGAGGGACAAACTTTCAGACCAAAGCAGGAGTGTTCTTAAATCCTATATGAAGAACAAACATTCAGACCCCAGGAGCACTGTTCTGAAATCCTATGATAAGGGCAAACATTCAGACCCCAACATGAATGTTCTGGAATCCTATGTGAGGGACAAGCATTAAGACCATAGCAGGAATATTCTGGAATCCTATGTGAGGGACAAACATTCAGACCCTTGTAGAAGTGTTCTGGAATCCTATGTGATTAAAAAACATTGAGACCACAGCAGGAGTGCTCTGGAATCCTATGTGAGGGACAAACATTCAGACCCCAGAAGGAGTGTTCTGGAATCCTATGTAAAGGACAAACATTCAGACCCTCGTAGCAGTGTTCTGGAATCCTATGTGAGGGACAAACATTCAGAACCTTGTAGCAGTGTTCTGGAATCCTATGTGAGGGACAAACATTCAGACCCTCCCAGCAGTCTTCTGGGATTCTATGTGAGGGACAGACATTCAAACCCCAGCAGCAGTGTTCTGGAATCCGATGTGAGGGACAGACATTCAGACCCCAGCAGCAGTCTTCTGGAATCCTATGTGAGGGACAAACTTTCAGACACTCATAGCAGTGTTCTGGAATCCTATGTGAGGTACAAACATTCAGACCCTCATAGCAGTGTTCTGGAATACTATGTGAGGGACAACCATTCAGACCATGGCAGTTCTGAAATGTTATGTGAAGGACAAACATTCAGACCCTCGTAGCAGTGTTCTGGAATCCTATGTGAAGGACAGACATTTAGACCCTCGAAGCAGTGTTCTGCAGTCTTAAGTGAGGAACAAAAATTCAGACCCTTGTAACAGTGTTCTGGAATCCTTTTTTGAGGGACAGACATTGAGACCCCAGCAGCAGTGGTCTGGAATCCCATGTGAGGGACAAACATTCACACCCCAGCAACAGTGTTCTGTAATCGTATGTGAGGGACAAGCATTCAGACCCCAGCAGCAGTGTTCTGGAATCTTATGTGAGGGGCAAACATTGAGACCCTCGTAGCAGTGTTCTGGAATCCTACGTGAGACACAAACATTCGTACCACAGCAGAAGTGTTCCGGAATCTTATGTGAGGGACAACCATTCAGACCACAGCAGGAGTGTTCTGGAATCCTATGTGAGGGACAAATATTCAGACCCTCATAGCAGTGTTCTGGAATCCTTTGTGAGGGACAAACATTCAGACCCCAGCAGGAGGGATCTGGAATCCTGTGTGAGGGACCAACATTCAGACCCTCGTAGCAGTGTTCTGGAATGCTATGTGAAAGACAACCATTCAGACTTTCATAGCAATGTTCTGGAATCCTATGTCAGGGACATTCAGACCCCAGCCGCAGTGTTCTGGAATCCTATGTGACAGACAAACATTCAGACCACAGCAGGAGCGTTCTGGAATCCTATGTGACGGACAAACGTTCAGACCATAGCAGTAGTGTTCTGCAATCCAATGTGAGGGACAAACATTCAGAGCCCAGCAGCAGTGTTTAGGAATCCTATGTGAGGGACCAACAATCAGACCCTCGTAGCAGTGTTCTGAAATCCTATGTGAGGGACAAACATTCAGAACCCAGCTGCAGTGTTCTGGAATCCTATGTGACAGAAAAACATTCCGACCACAGCAGCAGTGTTCTGGAATCCTATGTGCGGTACAAACTTTCAGACCACAGCAGGAGAGTTCTGGAATCCTATGTGAGGGACAAACTTTCAGACCCCAGGAGCAGTGTTCTGAAATCCTATGTTAAGGGCAAGCATTTACATCCCAGTGTGAATGTTCTCGAATCCTAGGTAAGGGACAAACATTCAGACCACAGCAGGAGTGTTCTCGAATCCTATGTGAGGAACAAACATTCAGACCACAGAAGGAGTGTTCTGGAATACAATGTGAGGGACATTCAGACCATCTTAGCAGTGTTCTGGAGTCCTATGTGAGGGACAAATATTCAGACCACAGCAGGAGTGTTCTGGAATCCTATGTGAGGGTCATTCAGACCACAGCAGGAGTGTTCTGGAATCCTATGTGAGGGTCAAACATTCAGACCCCAGCAGTAGTGTTCTGGAATCCTATGTGAGGGCAAACATTCAGACCCACGTGGCAGTGTTCTGGAATCCTATGTGAGGGACATACATTCAGACCACGGCAGCAGTGTTCTGGAATGGTATGTGAAGGACAAACATTCAGACCCTTGTAGCAGTGTTCCGGAATTCTATGTGAGGGACAAACATTCAGACCACAGCAGCAGTGTTCTGGAATCCTATATGACGGGCCAACATTCAGACCCTTGCAACAGTGTTCTGGAATACTAGGTGAGGGAGAAATATTCACACCCTTGTAGCAGTGTTCTGGAATTCTATGTGACTGACAAACATTCAGACTCCAGCAGCAGTGTTCTGTAATCCTATGTGAGTGACAAACATTCAGACCCCAAGAGTGTTCTGAAATCCTATGTTAAGGGAAACATTGAGACCCCAGCATGAATGTTCTGGAATCCTATGTGAGGGACAAACATTCAGAACACAGCAGGAGTGTTCTGGAATCCTATATGAGGGATAAGCATTCAGACCCTCGTAGCAGTGTTCTGGAATCCTATGTGAAGGAGAAACATTCAGAGCACAGCAGGAGTGCTCTGAAATCCTATGTTAGGGACAAACATTCAGAACCTCATAACATTGTTCGGGAAACCTATGTGAGGGACAGACATTTAGACCCTCGCAGCAGTGTTCTGGAATCCCATGTGAGGGTCAAACATTCAGATCCTCACAGCAGTGTTCTGGAATTCTATGTGAGTGACAAACTTCCAGACTCCAGCAGCAGTGTTCTGTATTCCTATGTGAAGGACAAACATTCAGAATTCAGGAGCAGTGTTTTGAAATCATATGTTAAGGGCAAACATACAGACCCTAGCATCAATGTTCTAGAATCATATGTGAGGGACAGACATTCAGACCCTCGCAGCAGTGTTCTGGAATCCTAGATGGGGGACAAACATTCAGACCCCAGCAGCAGGCTTCTGGAATCCTATGTGGGGGACAAACATTCAGACAATGGCATCAGTGTTCTGGAATCCTATGTGAGGGACAAACACTCAGAGCCTTGTAGCAGTGTTCTGGAATCCTATGTGAGTGAGAGTGCCTGGAGCCTACCCAACCTGACGCCCCCAAAGCCCTCACAGGGTCTGACCTCCCAGCATGCACCTGCCTCTCCCTGAACCCCAACTGCCCACCCTGCCTGTTCCCTGGCCTCCTTCATCCTGTGCAGCCCATAGACTGTGACCATCTCTGCAGCCACTCTAGCCCTTCCTTTACCTTTGTCCTGTCAGAATCTCTGAGCAGGATCTCCCAGGTCCATCCAAACACGTGCTTTGTCCACTTTTGACTAGGCCCTTGGGCATCACTGGGCTATCCCAGCTGTCCACAGGGCCTTCAATAATGCACATTGCACCTGGCTTATCCAAGCAGTGCTCAGCAGCCCACATTGACCAGGTCCCTGCTGACCAGACCCCACACATCAGGTCCTCCCTGACGACACCCTCACTGATTAGACCCTCATGACCAGGCCCCACTAACAAGGCCCCCACTGCCGGGCACACAATGACAAGGACTCCACCGACCAGGACCTTACTGACAAGGCCTCACGGACCAAGTCCTTACTGACAAGTCCTCACTGACTAGGTCATTATTGACAAGGCCTCACTGATCAGGTTCCACTGATCATGACCTCATTCCCTGGCCCCAAAGATGAGGCCCCACTGACCAGGCCTCCAGGGAACAGGTTGCCACTGATCAGGCCCCTAATAACCAGGCCTAAGGTCACCAGATGCCCCTGACTGGGACCCTAGTGAGTAGACCCCACTGAACTGGCACCAAATGCTGAGATCCCCGCTGACCAGGTCACCCTGTAGACCAGTGCTACAAAAGTCACCACTGACCAAGTCCTCTCTGATTAGGACACTACAGATTAGGTCCCACTGGCAAGGCGGCCCTGACCAGGACCCCACTGACAAGGGCCTCACTGATGAGGACACGCCCACCAGGGTCTGCTGACTAAGTCTCATGTGCCCAGTCCTGCACTGAGTAGCACCCCTTGACCTGGTCACCAGTGCCCCAGCCCATGCTGACCAGACCAGCACTAAGCCCCAGCTGACCAGGTCTCCACTGATCAAGCCCCACAGCCCAGGTTTGCACTGACCAGACACCAAACGACTGGCAGCCAATAGGTCCCCACTCACCAAAACCCCCACTACTAGACCCCACTAATGAGACCGTCTCTAAGCAGACCCCTGCTGACCATGATCCCACTAAATAGTCCTCACTGACCTAGGTCTACTGACCAGGCCCACACTGATCAGGCCCCTCCTAACCACGCCAGAAATCCAAGTGGCAATGACATGTTTCATATGGCAAAAGTTGGAACAAGACAGAGAGAGGAAAGAGGTTCCACAGCCTTTTAAACTACTAGATGTCATGAGAACTCACTCACTATCAGGAGGATGGCATTAAGGGCTTGGTGCTTTGCCATTTGTGAAGGATCCACTCCCACCCCTTTATGATTAAAGCTTTTTCCACCTAGGCCCCGACTCTAACATTAGGGAGTGTACTTTCACAGGAGTTTTGGAAGGGGCATAGAGAAAAACCGTATTATTCTGTCCCTGACCCCACAAATCTCATGTCCTTCTCACATTGCAAAATACAGTCATGCCTTGCCAGCAGTCTCCCAAAGTCTTAACTCATTTCAGCATTAACTCAAAGTTACAAAGTCCAAAGTCTCATCTGGGTCAAGGCTACATTCTCTTTTGCCTACGAGTCTCTGAAATAAAAAGCAAGTTCACTGCGTCTAAGGTACAATGATGGTACAGGCATTGTGTAAGTTTTCCATATCCAAAAGAGAGACATTTTCCAGAAAGCTTCTTATTTTTATCTGAGGCCCCCTCAGCCTGGCCTTCACTGTCCATGTTTTTGTCAGCATCCTTGTCACAGCCATTTAACCAGTCTCTAAGATGGTCCAAAAATGTTCTCATCTGTCTGTCTTCTTTGGAGCCCTCCAAACTCTTCCAACCTCTACCCATTACCCAGTTCCGAAGTTGCTTCCACATTTTCAGGTATCTTTATAGCAATGCTGCAGTCCTCATTTGCCATTTTTGGTAAGATTTATTTTGAAAAAGAGGTTTAATTGGCTCATGGTTCTGCAGAGTGGACAAGAAGCTTAGTGCTTCTGCTTCTGGGGGGCCTCAGAAATCTTTCAATCATTGTGCAAGGTAAATGAAAGAGTGAATTGTCTCATATGGCAAGAGGAAATCACGGAGAGTAGGGAGTGATATAGAGTTTTCAGTGGCCAGATCTCACGAGAATTCACTCATGATTGTGAGGACAGTACCAAGGGGATGGTGCTGAACCACTCATGAGAAATTTGCCTTCATGATTCAGTCATCTTATACCAGGATCCACCTCCAACATTAGGAAGCATAACTCAACATGAGATTTGGTGGGGACACATATTCGAATTGCCTCATCAGTCTTTGAGTATAAAGACATCCATAGCAGGCTTTATCCAGCCAGCTTCTTTGGGATTCTTTATAGGGTTTCAGGTCTATAGCATATCCACTAAAATATTCCTACTTCAAAAGGCAATAAAGTAAGTAGTATTATCATTCTTCAAAAAGTTATAATGGTAGTGTAGGCATTCATAGTATGATTTAGTTCATTTGCTACTGTTTCTATTCTATCACCATATTAACACTTTCCTACACAAGTCTATATTCAGCTGGGTTTCAGTTGAGCACAAAGTCATCCTTGTACTACCACCGATAGCTGGCACTAGCTCTTTGATACTGTTATCATTCTGCTGTAGAAAGTACCCGTGAACTGGAAAAAGTCCACAATAGAATAGCTAGTCATTCAACACTATCAAATTTTAGGTGACTTTTTGAAAAAATAGTATCTCTTGTTGCAAGAAATGGTCCATCTGTGATTTCAAGTCTCTCGCTTGAGTGAATTGGATGGAAGTGGTGAATTTCAGCCAAAGTGGCCAAAGAAATCCTGTTCCTGTGATAATGACACCATCAGCCTCTGCTCCTCTGTCTTCACTTCTGCCACATGTTGCCTGTTCTCCGTGACTTTGGTAAGAGCTTCCTTGTGTATGAGGATGATGTCCAGGATGTTGGTCTGGTGTCCCTGAGACAGCACTAACAGGTCCATGGCTGGGTCCAAGGTCCTTCCTGGACTCATTGGCAAAGAGCTTACTGATGTTCTTGAAGGCATCTCTGGTGAAGTGGATGGCCTAGTCAAGTTCCAAGGCCTGGCTGAGGCTGAAGAAAAACTGGCCACCTTCTGATGCTCTTTCTAAAAGCCTGTCACTGTCATCTGCTTGCTTGTCAACTCATTGGCTGTGAGGATGAGCTGAGTGGCCTGTGTCCATCTTCTTGGGGAAGCGTTTGAAGCCATCAGTCTTGCTCTCCCACCCCTAAAGGTTGATGGTCACCACCTGGGGTTGTGCTGAGGGTCAGAAAGAAGCCAGCACTCACTATCTGATCCTTCTCAGCCTTCCTCTTGCACTCTCTCCAGGCTGTCTCTTCAGTGTTGGTGGGATACGTCAGAAAGCGATGGAAGATGTGGCACTGTGTCCACACCCAGAAGCTGGCCATGTGGTTGGCTTATCCACCAGAATGGATGCTCTGGGTGCTCTTTAAGCCAGCTTGGCCTTGCCTGGCATGCACAGGCCCCAGGTTCTGACATGTTGCTCCGAGTGAGCTTGTCCTGCCTTGGGCCAAATTCTGTCAGGCCAGGGCCACAAAAGGCCGAGTCCCACGGGTGGTAATACTGGCTGCTTTCTGCACTTCCACATAAAGACCTCCTGAAGATGGCCTGTGGTCTACCTCTTTGCAACCAAGAAGCCCACAGTGCCATATGAACCCTTAGGCATGGACTGGGGCTCCTGAGGAAGCACACACCCTGCTCCTGAGCCTGCTGCTCATTTTCTCTGTGTGGCTCCATTTGTGTCACAGTTGTTGCACAGACTTGTGCATGCCGGGCAAGGCCAAGCTGGCTCAAAAAGCAACCAGCCACCTCTGCAAGGTTGTGCCAGGAACCGGTGGACCGGCTACCAACCTCACTTGCTGCCGGTCAGCTTACATCAGTTCTTCTACCCTAGAGGTAGGGCCCCAGTGCCATATGCTTTTCCTCAGGCCTCTGCTCTATCAGTCATCAGGCGGCAACCACTCAGGCTGTGGGAACCTGGCCATCCCTCCTTCCTTGAGTAGCTGAGGTTGCTGGCTTGTCTGCCTGCTACAGGTGCAGCCTTGCAGATGTGGCTAGTTGCTCTGAGCCAGCTTGGCCTTGCCTGGCATGCATAGGCCCCAGGTACTGACACTCTGCTCCGAGTCAGCTTGTCCTGCCTTGGGTCAAATTCTAAGTCTGGCCAGGGCCACAGAAGGCCCAGTCCCCTGGGTGCTAATCTTGGCTGCTTTCTGCACTTGAACATAAAGTCCTCCTCAAGAAAGCCTGTGGTCTGCCTGTTGGCGACCAAGAAACCTACAGTGCCATACGAGCCCTGAGGCATGGACTGGAGCCACAAAGGCAGTGCACGCCCCTTTCCTGAGACTGCTGATCATTTCCTCTATATGGCTCCATTTGTAGCACACTTGTTGCAGTGAGGCTTGTGCATGCCAGGCAAGGCCAAGCTGGCTCAAAGAGCAAGCAGCCTCCTCTGCAAGGGTGTGCCAGGAGCAGATTGACCAGCCGCCAACCTCACTCACTGCCAGACGTGGTACATCAGTTCTTCTACCCTAAAGGTGGGGCCAAGAGGCAGACCACAGGCCGTCTTGAAGAGGACTTTATGTTCAAGTGCAGAAAGCAGGCAGGATTACCACCCTGGGGACTCACCCTTCTGTGGCCCACAGTGCCATATGAGCCCTGAGGCATGGACTGGTGCCATCTGCTTTATACAAAAATTAACTTAAGATGGATTAAAGAGTTAAATGTGCCACCTGCTTTTCCTCAGGCCTCTGCTCCATCAGCCATCAGGAGGCAGCCACTCAGGCTGTGGAAACCTGGCCATCCTGGCTTCTTTCAGTGGGTGAGGTTGGTGGCTGGTCCACCTGCTCCAGGCACACCCTTGCAGAGGTGGCTTCTTGCTCTTTGAGCCAGCTTGGCCTTGCCTCGCATGCCCAGGCCCCACCTACTGACACACTGCTCTGAGTGACCTTGTCCTGCCTTGGGCCAAATTCTGTCAGGCCAGGGCCACAGAAGACCAAGTCCCCTGGGTGGTAATCCTGGCTGCTTTCTGCACTTGTACATAAAGTCTTCCTCAAGACGGCCTGTGGTCTGCCTCTTGGCAACAAAGAAGCCTGCAGTGCCATAGGAGCCCTGAGGCATGCACTGGAGCCCCAAAGGCAGTGCACACCCTGCTCCTGAGCCTCCTGCTCCTTTCCTATATATGGCTCCATTTGTAGCACGGTTGTTGCACCGAGGCTTGTGCATGCCAGGCAAGGCCAAGCTGGCTCAAAGAGCAACCAGCCACCTCTTCAAGGGTGTGCCAGGAACAGGTGGGCCAATCACCAACCTCACATGCTGCCAGTCACAGTACATCAGTTCTTCTGCCCTAGAGTTAGGGCCCCAGTGCCATCTGCTTTTCCTCAGGACTCTGCTCCATCAGCCATCAGGTGGCAGCTACTCATGCTGTTGGAACCTGGCCATCTGGGCTTCCTTGAGCGGGTGAGGTTGCTGGCTTGTCCGCCTGCTTAAAGGTACTATGGGGATAGAACACTGAAATAATAATAATGCATTTTTCAAACAAATTAATTCCTTGATTTTCAAACAAATTGAAGACAAAGGAAACTCATGATTCAAATGAATACATATGGTTCATTTTATTCAATATTTATGCTTACAGAATATATGTAAATAAGACATTCCCATGATTAATATTAATATTTAAGACTGATAAACTTTTGAGTGGGCAGTTAAAGCTTATCTTCTACTATTTTCTAACTTCAGAAATGCTTTTGTTTGAAAGTTGGGTGACAAAGTTTCAAGGAGATTAAGTCCCAATATTCCTATTTTAAATCTCTCAGCTTGTGCAGGCAGGGCAGGTAAACATGAAGTTTTTAAGGATAGAAGGGACCTGAGAGACAGCAGAATATGTCTGCTACATAACAGATACTCAGGTTATGTTTGATGAATAAATGGAATGAAAGAATGGAAAAATACAGTTGGGGAGTTCAATATTTTTAAATAAACTCCTATAAAGCAATATTTTTGCAATAGTAATATTTATATGTTATTTTTATTTAAGAATACAATTAAAATGAAATGATTAATCTATCATTGTTTGCATAAATTGAATGAATACATAAGAAAAACATATGTACATAATAAAATATATAGATAATAAAATCTGGAAACAGATAAAAATATTCCCTTTTTACTTCTGAAGAGGCTAAAAGTTCAAAGAAGATAACAATACACTCAATAATGATAAAAAATAGAAAGTGAGAAATTATTTTTAATATTGTAAGATTCATATTCCTGTCTTCCCAAGGATTATTTCTTTATTAATAAACTTTACTAGAAGTTTTGTACATGCTCACTGCAGCAATCACAGATAAGAAAAAGGAAAAGAACTTTACTTAAAATACAAATGCTCAGAAATTACAAATTTTATATTTTGTACATATTTTTTGATAAAACAAGACCATAGTTTGTTTGTATGTATAACTTAATTGATTTTTTTCTCACTAGCTATAACAAAATACATCTTTGCACATCAATATACTTCTGTATCTATTGCCACCTTCAATGGTCACATATTATTCCATCCTGTGGATGCAACTGAAGTTTATTTATAGGATCCATTCTTTGGGTTCTTTTTAAAATAAGTGAGGTGAAAAATAAAGTGCATGTATCTTTATTTCCTAAGGGTGTTTTAGTAAATGGAATTGATGTGTAAAGGGCATACATATTTTTTAATTGTAGTACTTACCACCAAATTATCTATTTGAAAAGTAATCAGCAACTTAAACTTTAAGCAGGAGTATAAAACATCCTCACAAATATTGTGGATAGAAAACTGTTTCATTCCTCTTTTAATTTAAATTCTTATACCAGAAATGCGAAGGACTTTTTCCTATGTACACAAGTAACTTGCAGATCTGGAAAAGTGTACTTTGCCCAATTTTAGAGTGTTTGATGATTTGATTTGAAAGAATTCCCTGTCAAATGAAAATGTACTTTTCATCTAATGTGTATATATAACTGATATATATGACATATTTTATCTGGTATATATGTATACGTATCAGATATATATATATATATATATATATATATATATATATATATATATATATAACTTATGATATATAATAAACAACATAGGCTGGGCGCAGTGGCTCACACCTGTAATCCCAGCATTTTGGGAGGCGGAGGCGGGCAGATCACTTGAGGTCAGCAGTTCGAGACCAGCCTGGCCAACGTGGTGAAACCCCCTCTCTACTAAATATACAAAAATTAGCCAGGCACGCTGGCACCTGCCTATAATCCAAGCTACTTGAGAGGCTGAGGTAGGAGAATTGCTTGAACCCGGCAGGCAGAGGTTGCAGTGAGCCAAGATTGTGCCATTGGACACCAGCCTGGGCAAAGAAGCGAGACTCCGACTCAAAAAAAAAAAAGAATATAATGAATTCCCTATAAAATGAAAACATACTTTTCATCTGAAAATACATACATACATATATATATATATATATATATATATATATATATATAATATAGTAAATATTTTTCAAGTAAGCTCTCTTATCTGAGAACTTTTTGCCTACTGAAATAACTCACGGTATTTTTGATAGGGGAACGAGTTCTCTCATTAGGCACCTCCTATAATGTATATAAACCATGTTTTCAACGTGTACGTTAAAAATAACAACACTGTGTATGCTTAACTTTGTGAGTTAAATCACTCAAATTCTCCAACTGCTCCAGCCATGGAATTATGAGGGATGGAAAACAGCTGAGAGTCCGTTTGGCTCCGCTGCTCTGAGGGTGCCCAGAGCCCTGAAAGGCCCCGTCCCAGGGGCAGTGGGGAAGCCGGGCCTGGGGACCCCCTCCCACCCCGGGCTGAGTCCCCGCTACCTGTGCTGCTTGTCCAGGGCATCCAGGTCTCCGCTCCTGCGCGCCAGGCAGCGCTCCACCCCCGCGGCGTCGCCCTTGACAGCTGCCCTGTGGATCTTCTGCAGTTCGGAGTCCCAGATTCGGTATCCGGAACCCGTGTAGACATGTTCTATGGAGCCGTTGGCCGTTTGGCTCCTGCGGCTCCCGAAGCCGAATAACTTCATAGTGGTGACTTCTCAGAAACCCCAACCTCCGGCTCTTGAGCGGGGGCAGCTCCCTGTCACCTTTTCACCACCCCCCTCCCCCGACCCCGGCCGACCTCCCTGTCACCTTTTCACCCACCTCCTCCGCCGACCCCGGCCGACCCAGCCCCAAATCCCCTATCCAACCCCAAATCCCTGATCCAACCCCCAATCCGCGATCAACCCCCAATCCGCGATCCCAAATCTGTGATCTACTCCACAGTCCGCGATCCAGCCCGGTCCACCACAGCCTTCAGCAGCGACACTCGTAGCCTCCCACCTCTCAGACCGAGTGAGCCTCGCAAAGCCGTTGGGCGCGCGCCTGCACCGCGGTTGCTGCCTGGCTCCCGGAAGCCCTTCCCTGGTGGCGCGTGCCGGCAGGTGGGGCTGCAGCTCTGGGCGGGTGCCGATGAGCTCGCAGGTCCTCTTGGGATCGCCCGGGCGGCCCCAGGATCGCAGGAGCGCCGCCAGCCCGGCCTGAGAAGGAGGGCCTGTCTGGCCTTGCAGCCCACCCCGCTCCTCCTCGGAAGGGAGATAGGGTGCTGGCAAGGGCACTCCGCTGCCACCTGGGTGGCTTCGCAGATGGCCTGGCTTCACGCTGAGGCTCTGGCCCTGGAGTCTGTGTGGCTAGTGTCAGGTAGCTGTAGAGGCATGGAGGCAGAGTCAGGGGCTGCTCTTTCCCCCACCAGCCCTAACTGCTGCCAGTGCCCCACGCACAGTTTGCAGCTGCAGATCTGGCACTGGCGTGGGACGGCGGAGCTTCCCTTGGATGGCCTCAGGGTTGCAGAGCGCACAGCCCACCTGGCCTCAACTTCCGCTCTTCTTGGGCATCTCTCTGGATCCTGGGCCCGGGCGCTGGGCACTCTGTATCCACATGGATGAAACTGAGCAGCTGCTGGCGGGGCCCATCGCCTGATTTTGCCGCCTGGGGGTCTGGTCTCAGGATCCACGCTACTGGGGGGCGGGCCTGGTTTGGGGTGTCCAGTCACTTACTGCCGGTGCACCACGTCTAGACTGCAGCTGCGGCTCCGATGTGGCGTCAGCTGGCGGGCCTGGTACCTGATGTCCTCAGGGTCAAGTGCATCGCCCGCCCACTTGAGGGGTTGCTGTGACTTGGCCTCCTCCAAGAACTCAGGGGCCACCAGGGCTGGCTCTTCGTGGTAACCGGGATGGTATTGAGCAGCAGGTTTTCACCCTGGTGCCACTGCTGTGCGGACTGCCTGACTTGGGCGCCCAGGCACTGGCCTCAGGGTCCGCGTGGCAGGTGTGTGTGCGGGTAGGGTGAGTGGCACGGAGGGTCAGGGGTTGCTCCGTCATCTCTGCCTGTGTGCAACTTGCAGTTTTGCAGTTTTCTGCAGCAGCTGAGGCGCTGGCGTGGGAAGGCGGAGCTCCCCTGGATGGCGTCAGGTTTGCAGGCACAGAGCACAGCCCAGGCCTGAGGGTCCGCTCAGGGGCCATGATGGTTGAGTTCTCCGTGGAAACTGGGATGGGGTGAACAGCCAGTTCCCGTCCTTTGGCCGCCTGGCCAACTACCAGACTTAGCCGCTGCCGCCCAGGCATCTGTCTCTGGGGTTGCCGCTACTTGGGTAGAAGTGGGGGTCGGGGTGGGGCATGGAGTGTCACCGGTTGCCAGGCCAGCACTGTCTTTGCAACATATTCAGATGGCGGCGGGCAGCTCGGGCACCAGCATGGGCTGGGGGGGCTCCCCTGGAAGGCCCTCAGATCGCTCACAGCATTGTCCAAGGGCTTCCTCGGCCTGTGCCAGGTGAGCAAGGTAGGGGGGAGCTTCCAAGGCTTCTATCCCAACTCTACTTATTTCTAGCTATTTTCTCTTGAGTTATTTTGTGTCTATCTCAGTTTTATTTGCAAAAATAGTATATGCAAAATACATCTAGTGAATGTACATCAGGCATATAGAAGATCTGGCAGAAACACGTTTTCTCATGCCCATTTCCATTCAGTATTTGAACACAGAGACTTCCATGGTTTTGATTCTTTCCACAAAAGGATAGTTTTGTCTGTTTTCACCATTTACATAAGTGAAATTATAAATTATATAATTTTTATGTTCATTCACTAAACATGCTTGTGACATCATTTTGCTCCTATTGATTATTCACTAATTTTATTTTGTAATACTCAATTTTATGACTATACCACAGGTTTGAGGCCTTTGCTTGTTTTGTTTATAATCCACTCCACTATTGATAGACACAAAAGCAGTTTCTGATTTGAGGTTATCATGAATAAACCTGCTACGAACAAATCAGATATACACATTTTTCTGTAATAATATTTTCACTTTTCTTGAGTTTAAGTACATAAGAGTGGATTTTCTGGGTTATAAAATAAGTATATATTTGGCATTGTATGAAATAGGGAGACATTTTCCTAAGTGGTTGTGCCATCTTAAACTACAATGAAAATGTTTGAGAGAATCAGTTCCACTTTCTAACCAATACTTGATGATGTCAGCTGTTTTAGTGTTATCCATTCTTATGGGATATAACTGCTGAGTAGCTGTCTGCCTTCCCAATAACACAGAAAATTGAGGGCCCAGAGGACAGTTTTATTTTCATATTTGACATCTTCTATTATTTTTTATAGAAGGGTGATTTGGGTAGTAAAATTGTCTTTCAATTTTCTAGGTTGTCTCTGAATCTTACTGGGGCTCCTTGTCCTAAACCACGTTCAGAAATTTTCACGACCAACTTCTTTTTATCTTTGTCATACCAGGCCAATGAGGGACTGCATTCCTGAGACTTTTTAAGTACTTTTTGTGTGTATGATGGTCTAATAATCATAGCCTTAAAACTTTCTGGCTGGGCATGGTGGCTCATGGCTGTAATCCCAGCAATTCGAGAGGCCAAGGCGGGTGGATCACCTGAGGTCAGGAGTTCAAGACCAGCCTGATCAACGTGCAGAAACCCCAACTCTACTAAAAATAAAAAATTAGCTGCGCATGGTGTCACATGCCTGTAATCCCAGCTACTTGGGAGGCAGGAGCTACTTGGGCTGAGGCAGAAGAATCGCTTGAACCCAGGAAGGGTTGTAATTAGCCGAGATCACACCATTGCACTCCAGCCTGAGCAACAAGAGTGAAATTCCTTCTCAAAAAAAAAAAAGAAAGAAAGAAAAAAAGAATCTCAGACTTCTGGGAGACACTGAATTTGTGAATGTGTACAGCATGTCACAATAACTTTTTTTTTTTGAGACCAAGTCTCACTCTGCTGCCCAAGCTGGAGTGCAGTGGTTCATCTCAGCTCACTGCAAATTCTGTCTCCTGGATTCAAGCAATCCAAGAAGCTGGGATTACAGGTGCTGCAACCATGCCTGGCTAATTTTTGTATTTTTAGTAGAGACAGAGTTTCACATATTGGCCAGGCTGGTCTCGAACTCTTCACCTCAGATGATCCACCTGCCTCAGCCAATGGGTGGACTGTTAACTCAAAATACGCACATTGAATACTGAGGAAAATGTATAGCCATCATCACCAGCAACTGAGATGCCAGTTGAGATACCAGAAATGCCCCAGCATGTAACTCCTCTTTTAATTCACAAACACACACACACACACACACACACACACACACACACACACTCATGGTAACCAGTTCAGGATGGACACAGAAACAGTCACAGTCTTTTTTGGGAACACACTCCCCTGTGACACTTAGATCCTAATGCTGACTCCAATTCCCTCCTGGGACCTCCCCTCTCCTTGCAGCTTGCTGGGCTTTCCCTTAGAAAACCCCATGTCATTTCCTTCAATGGAACATGAATCAGCTTCAGCCACAGAGTCTGCATGTCTCTGTCCATAGCAAACGTTTTTATTACCTTAAAATATAGATTTTTACCTTAACTAGCCAAGACCTAGGACCCTTTTTCCAAGCTCTTTTAGATGAAGTAATAAATGCAAATATTAGAGATGTGTACATGTGTATAAATATATGGAGAAAAGATATTGCCTAGTTGTACAAATTAGCTTTAATAAAACTCCTGATTTAAATTATTTAATTGTGAGAAGGGCGATTCTAACTCAACACACCAACGAAATAAAAGCCTTATCCCTCTGCTCCGCCAAAATATCCCATTTAGAGCCTGCGTTTGTGTGTACATACACGTGTGCACTCATCCCCACCTGACCGTATCAAATTATTATTTAAACTAGATATTTTTACTTTGTTGCATAGTAGTAATGGTTTCTGGAATGAAAAAATAAAAAACAGGAGAATAAAACTGTTTAAATGTATCTCCGGGTGAACGCTGTGGCCACTGCACGGACCCCGTCGATGGCGCCCAGTACCTGCGTCTCAGGAAGAGGTTCTGGCGGGGCCTCCGCCTGAGGCCGCGCCCCTGAGACCTGTCCCGCGTCCATGTGAATGCGGAGCGCAGCATTCACCATCCCCTCCCTGAAACAGCGGTCCCCGAGGTGCTCCACAGGCAGGGCCGAGCTGGGCAAGGGGGAGCCCAGCCCCTGCACGGGCCGCCCTGAGCGGCGGGGACGCAGGAAGAGCTCGCTGGCTCCACCAGCCCCTACCCCAGATGCGGGACCTCAGACCAGCAAGGACCTGGAGCCCCCGCCCAACGGTTGCCAGGAGGCGGACAGGGGCGGCTCCTGGGGGGCTACCACCCCGAGGCCATTCCTCCAGAACTTGAGCGACTTGGGAAGGCGCAGTGTCCTGCCCTTGAAGAGGAACCTGTGTCCTGGAGGCAGCAGCCTGGGAGCTCCTCCTCCGAGGACACCGCAGAGGCGAGGGACTCTGGCGGCGCAGCACTGGCTTTCCCGTCCGCAGAGGAGAGCTGTGGGGCTGGGTGAGCTGGACCAGGGAGCACGGCTGGCTGCTCTCGGCCTCCGATGGGGAGTGGACAGCTTAGGGGGTTGCCCCCGTGCCAGCCAGCCTGCTGGCCACTCTGGGCTTCATCACAGCCTCACCTGCCTGCGCAGGCACCTAGCACTGCAGGCTGGAGCTTCTGGCCATGTTGGTCAACTTCCCCAACGAGCCTCTGCTGCCTGGGAACAGCAAGGCCAGAGCTACACCGCCCTGCACTTGGCAGCCATTTACCTTGGAGATGGTGAAGCTGCTAGTGGGGACATAGGACGCCGATGTTGACATCAGGGACTACATTGGGGAAAGGGCCTCCCAGCATGTGAGTCAGAGCATCACAGAAGAGATTGAGACCCTGATGGGAGTCCTGGACAAGGACGATGGGGAGAGCACCCCCAGCAGCGGGGGTGGGTACTGGAAGATTTAAAAGCTTCCCCCTCCATCTCACCACCTACAAACTCTCACACGTCCTGGAAGATGGGGGGACCCTCTCCACCATCACCACTTGGCTGAAGGTGGTCCAGACGTGAAGCCAAGGATTCCAGGGTGCACAGCGTCGGGCAGGACTAATGGACTTAAAAAACACAGGCTCAACAAAATCCACTTCACAACCCAGATGGTTCACATCACACCCTCTTTCAAGGACCCAGAGCAGCCACTGGAAGAGAAGGAGTAGGAACGCTCTCTTAAAGTCCACTTATCCTATTCCTTCAAATTAAGACCAAAGTCCAATGTATTTAGGTAAAAAATAATTTCTTTTAGAAAATGCTAGGGTTTGTCTTCTGAAATTTAATAACAGAAACAAAAAAAGAACACTAGATGTAATGAAGTGAGACCAGAAAAGACAAACTAAACTATCCTTACTAGGTTGGAATGGATGGGGTGGAGTTCCTATCAGGCTAGCATTCTGGGGAAAGCTGTATTTTTTTTTTTTTTTTGGCAGTGGGGGGAAGGTGTCTCACTCTGTCGCCCAGGCTGGAATGCAGTGGCGCCATCTCCGCTCACTGCAAGCTCCGCCCCTCGGGTTTATGCCATTCTCCAGCCCCAGCCTCCCAGTAGCTGGGACTACAGGCGTCCGCCACCACACACGGCTAATTTTTTTGTATTTTTAGTAGAGACGGTGTTTCACCGTGTTCTCCAGGATGGTCTTGATTCCTGACCTAGTGATCCGCCCGCCTCTGCCTCCCAAAGTGCTGGGATTACAGGCGTGAGCCACTGCGCCTGGCCGGATTTCTTTTTAAGAGATTCATCATACCTTGACCAGTGCCCCATTTCCCTCCTCCACCTGTCTGACCTGGCATTCCTATTTTGGGAGACCAGAAGTGGGGGGGAGAAGGGATGACTGTTTCTTTGCTTTCACCATTCCTGCATGCCATGCAAAGGAAGGAATATTGTGCTTTTAAATATCCGTTTTATTAAGTAAGTGGTTACCCTTTCAAGGACAAAAAAAATGCAAATTGTTACAAAACTGGTAGTATTTGTAAGTGAAAGCACTACACGCTGCCTTGTTCTTTTACCAATTGCATTTGCATTTTAAGGTACTACTGGTACAGCCATGGTGGAGAACAGTTTGGAGGTTCCTCTAAACACTGAAAATAGAGGTGCCACATGATCCAGCAATCCCACTGTTGGATATATACCCCAGAAATAAGAAATGAGTATATCGAAGAAATTATCTGCACTCCCATGTTGGTTGCACCACTGTTGACAATAGCTAAGATTTGGAAGCAACCTAAGTGTCCATCAACAGATTAATGTATTAAAGAAAATGTGGTAGATACACACAGTGGAGTATTATTCAGCCCTAAAAAAGAATGAGATTCAGTCATTTGCAACAACATGGAAGGAACTGGATATCATTATGTTAAGGGAAATAAGCCAAGCACGGAAAGGCAGACATTGCATGTTCTCACTTATTTGTGGGATCTAAAAATCAAAACAATTGAACTCATGGACATAGTAAGTACTAGGGGGCTGATGGGGGGAGACAGGGCACGGGTAATGGGTACAAAAATAGGCAGAAGGAATGAATAAGACATACTATTTGATAGCACAACAGGGGGACTCTAGTCAATAATTGTACATTTAAAAATAACTAAAAGAATCTAATTGGATTGTAACACAAAGGAAACATGCTTAAAGGGATGGATACCCACTCTCCATGATGTGATTAGTTCATGCTGCATGCCTGTATCAAAACATCTCATGCACCCCATAAATATATATGCTTATTATATACTCACAAAAATGCTTGAAAATAAAAATAAAGGAACTACTGAAGGTCAGGTCAGAGTGGAAATGTAAAAATACTAATTAGAGAATAATGTGAATACAACAGGAATCCTGTTGGTATTCTATTTATATTGTAAGCAGCAGTTCAATTGTTTTGTAAAAGTAATTTCAATTTTAATCACTGAACTAAAGAAATGGGCAAGGCTGACTTCCGTAATATAGGTTCTACCTAACCATCTCTAACACCGCTGTCAAGGAGGACCAGTGTTAAGGTACATTACTAACAACCACACAAATTTTTAAAAGAAAAGAACACTCTTAGCAGCCTATGGTACTTTGAAATGAAATATTGCCTCTCATTCTCACTTGTGTTGCCATTCCAAAAGTATGAATTTGCTGAGGTTTATATTCTGGGTATTATATAACCATTGGTTCTGTTTGGCATAACCCTATTAAATGGTGCTCAGAGCTGAATTACCTACAGAAACTTTCTGGTTTAATTAGCATAAATTGGTATAAATATTAGTGAGCCCATACTTCTGTGATATAATTAAACCAACTTAATGATTCTCACATAAGGTGTCAATTTATTTTACTAATGCATTCATAATCTATGCTTTGTAGCAACATTTTTCAAATGTTTAAAATGCTAAATCTTCTCAATTTTCCAATCTTTTCTTGAATCTATTAGATACCTATAGTGTAGTTACTGAATAGCTGGGAAACAAATACACCTAGTTAGAAATCGCACTGCTTTATAAAAGGCACTAGAGAAAAGACGAGACTATTCCTATATTTAAATGCTGCTGGCAAGTGAATTCCTCGTATATAAATGAAAGATACCATTCATTAAAATGAAAGACTTGTTTTAAGTGTGATTCTTACATTTCATTCATTTATGATAGAGTAAATGGCTTTATAATTACTTTAAAATTTAACTCACTAGTACATTAAATCTGTTCATTGCAAGATTAGAATCAACTGTGAGGGGAACTAATTTAAACAAGCCCTTCCTTAGTCTTATTGAGTCTCATATTTGCTGAAAGTACCTACAGCTTGCAGGATAAGGGAGTTCACGGACCATAGGGTGAGTGAACCCATGCACAAATTGCAAACTGCCCAGAGCTACTACATTTAGGATTTTTAGACCTTTAATTTTCCAAGTCATAGAAATGTGTTACAGGTTCATCACATCTTTGTCTACATGGCAACTGAATTTCTTTAAAGATAGGTTAAAAAAAAGGCATAAAACTATGAATTATTATCCATTTGTGTGCCTCTATTTTTGCTTTAGAATTATGGAAATGGACCCTGTGAATTTGGGAAACACTGTTATGTATACACATGGGTGAAAAACAAACTAACATTGTGTAAATTAAAATACTTTTTTTGAAGTTGAAAAACATCCATTTGTTCTAAATCTATATATATTATGTGTATCTAGTACAGAATAAGGTGTAACTTCTCATTGAGTAATCTTAGGTTTTACAGATATGTAAAGCTGAAGCAACTCTAAAGAGTAGACACTTCAGAACAGGAAGGTTCTGGTCAATGTTGAGAGTAGACACTTTCACTGAAGGTTCTGGTGAAATGTGGGTAACTAATTGCTTGAAATCTATAATTAGCTATATAGTTAACTATTAAGTTAAAATGTCATTTATCATGCCTTTTACACTAAAAGCTTTAACTTTTCTGAGAAAATAATATTTTAAATGTTCAATTATTACTTCTGAGGAAAGCTACTTCTAGCATTCTTTGTCATGATGTGCTTGTGTGCAGTAAGCAGAGCATTTTTAGCCACTTACCTCTACAATGTTCCTGTTTTTCAATTTCTGATTTAGATTATAAAAGGCAAATGATTAATTTAATTTGATACTCAGAGTTGTGTTTACTTTTAATGGACAAATATATGTCAGATACTTTGATGTTTATTGATATGACACCGTGTGGTTAAACAACGCAAGTATGTCCATGTGTTTCTTATAGGGTACACTTGAAACTAGTGATGTTTATGCAGTTCACTTATGTAACTTGAAAATCTGGTACTATTGCATTCAGGACTGAAATCTTGGAGTTTAGGTGTCTTGTCTCTCATTTTGAAAATAAGTGAAAGTTGAGAATGTAAAATCTATAAAGTTCATTTTTTTAACTAGGAAAAAAACACAAATTAATGACAGACACCAAATTACAAATCCAAAAAGCTCAGAGAACACCAAGCAGGATGAATATTTTAAAAATATACCTAGGAATATCATATTCAAACCGTAGAAAACCTGTAACAAAGATAAAATATTAAAATAAGGCAGAGGAAGAAACACATTGTCTACAGAGAAACAGACATAAGAATTACATTGGACTTCTGTTTAGAATCCATGCAAGTAAGAAGTGTTGAAAAAATTAGAATACAGTGGGTATTTTTTATCCAAGTATTCATTATTTAAAACTGCAAGGTGAAAATAATTGTAACAAGAACATATTCACTAGCAATCTGAGCACTCATGTTATTAGTGTCTGTTCTGGAGAGAATTATGTCCCCCCAGAATTCCTAACCTGAAGCCCTATCTCCCAGTGTGACTGTATTTGGAAAAGGAGCTTTTAAGAAGTTAAAGGTTAAATAGGGGCAAAAGGGTAAGGCCCTAATCTGTTAGGACTGGGGTCATCATCCAAAAAGAAAGAGACACCAGAGATACATATCTCTCTCTTCTCTCTCTCTCTGCCTCCCTCCTTCTCTCTCTCTCCCTCTCTCCCTCTCCCCACATACATTTGTTAAATTGAGGTTTTTTGTTAGAACATATATAGTGGCATTTTAATATAGTATTACTCTACTTAAAACATACACACACACACACACACACACACATATACAATTTTGATAAATTCTTTTTTGAGGATAAGGCCGGGCATGGTGGCTCACACCTGTAATCCCAGCACTTGGCGGGATTATCATCTGAGGTGGGTGGATCATCTGAGGTCAGAGGTTCAAGACCAGCCTGGCCAACATGGTGAAACCCGTCTCTATTAAAAATACAAAAAATTAGCTGGGCGTGGTGGCGGGCACCTGTAATTCCATTTACTCAGAATGCTGAAGCAGGAGAGTCCCTTGAACCCAGGAGGCGGAGGTTGTGGTAAGCCGAGATTGCACCATTGTACTCCAGCCTGGGCAGCAAGAGCAAAACTCCGTCTCAAGAAAAATACAATAAAATACAAATAAAAAAACACAAAACTGGGATGTGTCCCTGTCTTTTAGGCAGATATACTTTACCATTACTAAAATTGAGCTTCAGAAACATTAAGCATGCTACACAAACTTAGCTGGAAATGAATACTGAAATGGAAGTTTGAATCCAAGATGATTTCTTTTGAATCCCATGCTAATGCTGTTAACTCCTATAGACCCTTCTCAGGTGCAGCCAGAGAGACACTAGCCCACTGATGGACGGACAGACGTGGGCAGGGTCCGTGTCACTAAACCACCCACCACTGCCACAGCTGCCTACAACAGACACATCAGATGACACTCCGGGCATATAAATGATTTTCACTGAGGACTTACTGGTTTTAATAATAGGTCCTGGTGTAGAGAAGTCCCTCAACCTATTGTGCAATGAGTTTTGAGAAGCGGGTAAGCTGTATGTTTTGTGGTTTTGTTTCATAAATGCATCTACAGGAAGACCAATATTGACTGAATGAAGCTTTCATTTAAAGAGCTAAAATATGCTTTGTGTTTTTATATGTGGATACTACTTTAAACCTAATGACTATTCATTGTATCATAGCTTGTGATGTATTCTGCTCATGGCTTTTAAGGTAAATTGTGCCATGATCCACTGCCATTCGAATTGCTTTAACAAGTCATTACCACACTACTGTTACATCTTAATTATGCATACAGACAGGTAGACTTATTTTACATATGTGAACTAACTAGTTGTCAAAGCAAATGCAGATTGTATTCTGCAAGTAAAGTCTTTTTCTCTCTGTAATTTCTAGGGATGTTCTTTAAGTGAAATTCATATTCAAACTGAAGATTTTAGTTACAAGAACTGAGTGCAGATTAAAGTCTTTTGTGATTCAAACATAGTCAAGAGTACAACTGTGATATTTCATGGAAGTTATGCAATAAAATGTCTCTAACCTGTGAACAAATCTATCAAGCAGACGGCACAGTACTGAATTTGAAACCAGAAATACTGGGTTTTTATATAAATGCTTCATAGATTTGTTTTATGATAAAGGGCACATAACTCTCCTAAACCTCACACCACCTCTTGAATAGGTATAATAAGTCCACATCAATGCTGATGCCTTAGCTATTATTAAACTCTTACAGTATGATGTAAAGTGAAAGTACAATGTAAGATCATTCCTAGGCCAACTTTGACCAGTTTTATACAGAAACATGTGCCAACTTTTCTGTTTGCAAGGATAATATCAAAGCAAACACCAGAAAGTTATATCTTTGATGCATTTTTTCAAAATCATACACATAATACACAAACCAAAGACAAATGATGAATATTATGTCAGAAAATATAAAGTCTTCTCCTTTCTTCTTTTGCCAAGAAAGTCCAATATTTTCACCATTTTTATGCACACAATCAACTTTATTTAAGCTGGAAGTTAATGTCTCATTGTTTTCATTGTTCTAAATAAACACCTTTTCCCTTGAGTATTGCTCTAAAAATTTTGAAGTTGTGTGAAAAATTTTGTTCTGATATTTCACATTTGTGCTAATGATATGTGAAAAGGAATACAGATGGTATTTAATTATGAACAGGAAAAGATGTTAAATATCATTAGTCATTAGAAATTTGCAAATTAAGACCACAATGACTAACACATATATATCAGAATAGCTAAAATAAAAATAAAACATCAAACGCTGGGGAGCATGAGTAAAAACTGGAGCTTTCACACATGACTGGTGGGAATGTAAAATCGTACAGCTATGCCAAAAAGGAGTATAGTAGTTTCTTAAGAAACTAAAGGAACCTGAGTCCCCAGGCCTGCAGTCTGGGCCAAGGACACTGGTCCTGGATCAATCAGGATGGGGTTCAGGGGCCTTCCTGGGGCCATCCAGTGTCCAAGGTGCCCTTTGGTAGCCTCGTCTGCCCCTCAGCCCCTGAGCACGTCCCTCTGTCCCTCCAATCCTCCCTGTCACGGGACATCTGTCACAGAGCCATGCCCTACCTCCTGCTTTCTGGAGATGCCAACTGCCTGGGGTGCTCTTAGCCCTGCCCTCCCTATCTCTGGGTCCTGACCAAGGTGCTCTAATGGACACCCCCTGACCCAGGTCTCAGAGAGCTGCCAGCACCCTGGGTCCCTGAAGCTGAGATCCAGCAAGACACATGTGGCCTGAGAGTCCCACTCTCTGGCTGGCAGAACCCAGAGGTGGGAGCACACTGGAGTGTCCTTCAGGGTGTCTTCACCCCATGAAAGGGCTGGGGGCTTTGGGAGTTTGCAGCTGGCAGGAGTCAGGGCCCAGTCCCCTAACTCTGATGCGTCCTTGGTCAAATCCTGTGCCTCAGCCTGCAGGGCCTATTGTGGTCACCAGGTGAATGTGTTCCCTTAGTCTGGGAGCCCCAAGTAGGCAGCACCCCCTGCCAACGACTTCAGGGCACCTGGAAGTGGAGGCTGAGAGGTCTCCCACTTCGCAGAGCTGGGCTCTGGCCCAGAGGCCTTCTCCTTGGCTTAGGTGGTCTCTCGGGCTCCTGGGGCTGCAGATCAGGGACAGAAACAGGGAGCTCTGCTCTGCTATGCCTACAGAGAGGTGCCCAGTGAATGCAGGTTCCAGACAAAAGGTGGAGCCTGGCATCCTGCCCTGCATGGGCTCCAGCCTGCTGCCATCTGGGGAAACTGAGTCATGGCGAGGCTCAAGGATGTTTCTCAGACCACACCAGTCCCTGAAGGTCCGCTGACCTCCCAATCTTGACGGACAGTGAGAAGAGGTTCCCAGGCCACCTGCAATAGGTTCTGGCTCGGCCTGGGTTGGGGTAAGTCTCCCGGCTGCTGTCCTCAAAGCCCCATCAGGAGGCTGTGTCAGGCCAGGCGCACCGTGGTGACAGCAGCATGGACTGAGGGTTCTGGCCACGGGAGAGGTCAGGACCGGGGGAGGTCAGGTCCAGGAGGAGGGCACTGGCCGGCACATGGTTGTGCTGGAGAGACCTGGGCGGCGTGGTGGGAATGGCCCAGGAGGAGCCCCGGCTCCTGTGGCTGGAGTGAGGGTGCGGGCTGTGGTGGGAGAGGAGGTGAAGGTGGAAGGAACAGGGGACCAGGGGCCTGTGCTGTAGGAAGGGCATGGACTTCCTAGCGAGGACTTTCTGGTGCGGGATTCTCAGGGAAGAGGAGGCCGGAGGGGCTGGGGTCCCCAGGAGTGCATGCGCCAGGCAGGTGGAGGGGAGGCCGAGCCAGGAGCCGCAGGCTTCTCACCGCCAGGCCAAAGCCGCCCTTCGCTGGCTGCGTGGGGAATCGCGCCTAGGCTGGGGCTCCCCTGGCCCCAGGTTTGGGGGATGCTGATGTGTCCTGGGGCGCTTACTGCCCATCCAGCCTCCGCCAGGCAGCATGGCCCTGGGTGGCTTTCAGGGCAGCCTCCGCAGCACAAGACCTGCCTCCGCCCTGTGGGGCAGATTTGGGCATATGACTCTGGACACTTATCCAGAGGCTGAATTCAACTCTCCAGGGAAAAGCACACTCAGACTCCCTCCCTCCCCGCTGTGCCCAGCCTGAGGGGACCCTGGCTGGGACTTGGGAGGAGAAGGCCAGAGGCCAGGGCCTGGCTCTCAGGCACTAGGTCCAGGAGAAAATGGAGCGGAGTCCCTGCAGGAACTGCCTCAGACTGCCCCTGAGGGGGCCTGGCCTGGGACCCTCCCTGTGCTACCAGGCTGCTGTTGGGGCCAGGAGGGCAGGGAGAGCAGCCACCTGTACGGCATCAAGTAACACTATCACTCAGCACACCCAACATCCACACAACAACCACAGCCCTCTGCCCTGAGGGGGCAGGTGGGCAGAGCCTCCTCTGTCTTGTTCACCCTGAGCATGGAGCTCCGCACAGGACAGGATCAGAGAGCAAACCAGGAACAAATGGATGAATCAACGAAGGGGCCAGGGCAGTAGGTCCCCACCCACACCCTGAACCCTAAGGGTGGGACACAGAGGCTGGAGACGGGCTGGCCCTGGGATCCTCTAAGTGACAGGAACCCTTGGCCACTGTTGATTTCCCCGAGGTGGGGACAGGGATGGTGGGGCTGGGGCTGCCTGGCCCTTTAAGAGGGCAATTCTGCCCACCGCCCTGAATGCCCCCTCCCCTAGCCACTGGAGAAGAGATCCCGTTTCTTGGCAACAGGAAGCTCTTGGTTTACTGTGTCACCCAAGCGACTGGGAGCCACGTCCTGCTCTGGGACTGAGCCTTTGGAGCCGACCGATGACTGCACTGGGCTGACCGCAACAAGCTGACCACACACACTCCTCACTCCCCTGGCCCTGGTGGGCGGCAGACACCATGGTGCAGACGGATGTGCTCCTACCAGAGCCGGCACCGCAGACAGTGTCGCCCTGCGAGCTGCCCTGCAAAGAGTATGATGTGGCCCGCAACACGGGCGTCTACACGTCCTCCGGCCTGGCCACCGCCAGCTGGAGGTGTGGTTCCAGAACTGCTATGCTCGCTACCACCAGGCCTTCGCCGACTGCAACCAGTCAGAGCGGGAGCTGCAGGGGCACGAGAGCCAGCAGCTGGCCGCAGAGACCCAGACGCTGGCACAGCCGACACAGCAAGACTCCACGTGCAGGGTGGGCGAGCGACTGCAGGACACGCACAGCTGGAAGTCGGAGCTGCAGCGCGAGGTGAAGGTGCTGGCTGCGGAGACCGACCTGCTGCTGGCCCAGAAGCAACGGCTGGAGCGCGCCCTGGATGCCATGGAGGTGCCCTTCTCCATTGCCACTGACAACATGCAGTGCAGCCAGTGCCACCAGCACGCCAACCTTGTGCGTGACCATGTGGAGACGGAGCTGCTGAAGGTGCCAGCAGCCTTGGGTGGCCAGGACTTGTGGGCACAGAGAGGAGGAGCCCCCGGCAGTTCATGTGGACAAGCCACGTGGCTGCTGCAAGCACACGGGAGACCAGCCCTCTATGCGTGAGACCCCTGAGTCCCGAAATCTGGCCCCTTAGTGACAGGAGGCAGTTTTGCCCCAGAAGGCCCCGACTTCCAAGCAGCTGTTTCTCCTCTCCTCCTCCAATACCTTTGAGTCCTGGCACAGTCATCCTGACCCTGGGCTCCCCAGAGACCCTCCCTGATTGGGACAGTTGCTCCCGAGGTGGAAACCCAGGTCTGGGCCAGCACTGTGGGTGTGGACAGGTAGGGTGGGATAGGCTGGGAGCCACTGCTCCCATTCATCCTATACAGAGCCGGGGACACGAAGATCTGCACCCACAGGTCCCCTTCTCCTTGTCACCTGTAACTTCCCAATCCAGCCCAGCTTGTCTATGGGGCAACCCCATAGGGTGAGAGAGTAACTCAGTCCTGGCCCTGATGCTGGCTCTGGAGAATTCCCTGAGCTCTCAGAGCCTGGGGCCTCCATGAGAACCACTACAGGCCTGTAGACATTTGTGAAAGATGTGGGGTGGAGGCAGCTGGTCTCCTGCCATACCCCCAAACTCAGGCAAGAACCCTTGAGTCCCTCCCTCCCTTCATGCCTTCCCTCCTCCCTCCCTTCCCCTTCTGCAGGCCTATCCCCCTGCACCTTCTCAGTGCCTCAAGAACTGCTGCAGCTCCCGCAAACCCTCTGCCTGCAACAAGGGTGCCTGCGAAGTGATGGAGACACTGACAGTGCAGGAAGAGGCAAACCCAGGGACAGAGGGGTGCAGGACTCAGGCCCTGGCACACAAGGAGGTAGCTGGTGGTCCCGGCAAAGACCCCAATCACAGGGAAAAAAGGCTTGTTCCTACACACAGAAAATTAAACTGGCCAGGCAGTAAGAAGAAACACAGGGTCTTCCTCCTGTTCTTGGTGTGAGGATGGTCTTTCCCAACACAGAGCCCTGAGGGGCAGCCTGGGCGGGCATCTGGGCCCCCAGAGTTTGGGTCCTCGGGGGCTGTCCAGAGGCCAGGGGCAGGCCAACGTTCCTGGGTGCACTGAGTGAGCAGCAGTGATGACTCTTGAGGCCTGGGGCGTGGGAACTGCCACTAAGGGACCTTCCCAGCAGCCCATAGAAGGCCCTTGAGGAAAACAACCCACTTACAATGCACCAAGGAGAATGCCCAAAAGCCCAGGATAAACCCAGTGAGAGAGCAGAACTTGCACAGTCAGAGCTCAGGCCCGGCATTCAACTATTTCTGGTTGCTCAGGTGTTGACCAAGGCCTTCAGCAGCTGGGCCTCCTGGGATCCTCACCAAGGACCGGATCTGGTGCTCAGGGCGTCTCCTCCCTCAGGAAGCTGAGCCCATCCGGAACATTAAGGAGCTGCTGAAGAGAGCCATCGTGCAAGCAGTGAGCCAGACCCTTGGGTCGAGGGCTGCCCAAGGGATGACTCCTGACCCCACCCACGGCTGGTCCTGGGGCAAGGCATTGAACGACAGAACCCTGAAGCTCAGAGCCGGCAGGGGCTGTCCCAGGTCACAGTGGGAGCACAGGGCTGGGTGGGGGAGGTTCCAGCCCAGCCTGAGTTTGAGTGGCCAAAGCCCAGTGCCACAACTGATCTGCAGCCTCCCAGCATGGGCGGCAGCTCTTCGTCACTGCTGAGCACAAGGACAGCCGGCCCAGAGCTCCCTCCTGAAGCGGGCATGAAGGCCTAGCCTGCAGCATGGAGGGTACCCAGTGGGGCCCTCCCTGGCCACACACCAAGACCCTGCCCCACCCCGCCCCAGACTGAACAGAGAGCACACGGAGATCTGCGAGATGGACTGGTCGGACAAGGTGGAGGCCTACAACCTCGACGAGACTTTCGGGCGCCACCACAGCCAGAGCACCGAGGTGCAGGCTCATCCGGCACTCCACCACCTTCCAAGAGATGGGGACCCCAGCTCTGTCCCCGTGCTTGCCCTGGCTGTGGTCTCGCCTCCCTCTGCCTGGGGGCCCCAGCGGCGCTGCTTCCCCCAGCCTGGCCCAGAGGCCCTCGCCCCCGAGGGCACTTGGGCAACTGTCTGCCCCTGGCATGAGAAAGCGTGCAAGACCTCCTCAAGTGCCCAGCGCGTGCACAGCCTGGTTGCCCGTAGACAGGACAGGGTGGGATGCGGTCAGCCCCAGGCGCCGGCAGGATTGCATTTCCACCCAAGGCCAGCAGAGGGAGCACGACCACCGCCCACTTGAGCATGGCAAACTCCTGGGTGCGAGAAGCGGACGCGGGCGCTGGGTACTAGGGAAGGGGGGCTGCGGGGGACGGAGGTGCTGCAGAGGGGGCCTTGGGGGCAGCGGTGCTGGGAACGGGGTCGCGGGGGCAGGAGGGGACTAAGTGCCCGGGGTGGGTAGGGTGTGGGTGGACTCAGGGGAGTTGTGGGCGGGGGGCACTCGGAGGCAGGGAGCTTGGGGGACTGGGCTTTGTGAGTCTGCACGGGGTGCATTGGAGTCCATGCAGTTCCTCCAGGAGCATGGGGTGCAGACAGGGAATGGGGGCGCGGCAGGGCCCCCAGCCACTGGCATAGCCTCCCTGACCCTCTCCTGGCTGTCCCCAGCCCCGCAGCGCCTCCACCCCAGAGACCCGGACCAAGTTCACACAGGACAATCTGTGCCACGCCCAGCGCGAGCGCCTGGACTCGGCCAACCTGTGGGTGCTGGTGGACTGCATCCTTCGCGACACCTCCGAGGACCTGGGACTCCAGTGTGACGCCGTGAACCTGGCCTTCGGGCGCCGCTGTGAGGAACTGGAGGACGCGCGGCACAAGCTGCAGCACCACCTGCACAAGGTGGGGCACCCTGAACCCCGAAGACGGCTCCGGCGCCTGCCCACCACTCTGCCCCCTCTCATCACCTGGCCTGGGCCCTCAACACCTTTCTCCTCTGTCCCACTTATCCCGAGGGACCCCAGAAGCAAGTGTCACCTCTCCGTAAACCTATGTAAAACCAGGTGACACTGGGTATGATCGCAGTGTGTTGCAACCCCCATGACTGAGAAGGAGGAGCTGTGGGGAGGATGGAGGCAGGAGCTGGTCTGGGGAGCATTGACTGCCTGGGAGGTCCCCAAGAGTCCTGGCCTGGCAGGCAGGGCTCTGACTCTAGGGCCTCAGCATGGCCTTTACCACCTCTGAGTCCCCAGTCCTTGAGCAGGATTTGGGTCCTGGTGACCACCAAGGATGGGGGGTTCTTGGACCAGAGCTAAGAGACAACAGGCTGCCTGACTCTCCAGAGCCCGCTGGGGGCCCCGTGCACATTGTTCCCCTCACCCACGCCTCCCCAGGGCCACTGGTCAGGACCACCCTCTGGACACAGCCCCAGGAGCTGGGTAGGACCAGACTGGTCTCTACATTCCATATGCCCGGGCATGGGGGCACAGGCCCAAGGGGCACTGTCCTGTCTGCAGATGCTGCGGGAAATCACAGATCAGGAACACAACGTGGTGGCACTGAAGGAGGCCATCAAGGACAAGGAGGAACCTCTGCACATAGCCCAGACCCGGCTGTAGTTGCTCTCACACCGGCCCAACATGCAGCTGTGCCGCGATGCAGCCCAGTTCAGGTACTGCCTGGGCCTCTGAGGCAGTCCCAGGTGCCCCCATCCACCTCCTCGCTGCGACCCTCTCCAATAAACACTCCAATCTCCACACACACATCCCCCACAGGTGCTGAGAGGGGAGGGAGACTCTGCGGCCACACACAACATGCAAGCACGCCTTAAACACACAGATATAGACATGACACTGGGCAGGTCATGGGTCGGGGGCCTCCCCGTGCCAGGGACCTGTGCCCACGTGGTCTCACCCCACCCTGTGCTACCTCATCTTCCCGGGAGGAAGCTCCTTCAGACAAGGTGAGCTCCTGGAGGCCACGGGGCCAGAGAGGCCAGAGAGGGCCATTCCCTGCTGCCCTGAGGGTGCTGTCCCCACCTCTGGTGGAAAGTATGACCTACGCCTGGGCTACAGGCATAGATGGGCCGTCCTTTTGTTTCCCTTGTTAACGGATGCCTGGTGGCCCCTTCTGAGCCTAAGTACCTTTCTTCCTTCCCTGCCCCTCAGTTCCTTCAAGGAACTGGGTGCCTCCTTCCGTCAAATATCAGGAATGGAAAGAACTGAGCCTGGTCGGCTGAGGCCAGTCCTGTCCTGTCAGGGTCGAGATTGCACGCGGGTCACTCATTCCCACTCAGGCCCGCGCTCCCTGGGAGGACCCTCGTAATTTATGCTCTGCCCTAGAGCCGCTTTCCTGGTAGGATCCTTTCATGGCGTCTTCCCAGGACCTCCTGCCAGCTCCCATTGGGAGTTTTGGGTCCCCTCCACCCCAGTAGGTGCATACTTCTGCCCTCCCCAGCCCCAGCTCACACCCCCCAACACCCCCAAGCTGGTGAGTGAGGTGGAGGAGCTGTACAAGTCCATCACAGCGCTGCGGGAGAAGCTTCTACAAGCGGAGCAGTCCCTGCGCAACCTCAAGGACATCCACATGAGCCTGGAGAAGGACGTCACTGCCATGACCAACAGTCTCTTCATCGACCGCCAGAAGTGCATGGCCCATCGTACTTGCTACCCCACCATTCTGCAGCTGGCTGGCTACCAGTGAGCAGCGGCACGGTGCTTCCCCCCAATCCCCCAAATAAACAGTGCGTTAGCTTTCTGCACAGTGTGTGTGTGTGCCCGGTGGGACCTCCAGTTGCTGTCCATCTGAACTGGCCTTTGGGTCCCCTGTGAGGCTGGCTCTGCCTATGGACTTGTCATCCCAACAGTTGGAGATGAGGGGTCAGAGCTGAGGGGGAGGAATCCCTGTGCCTCAGAGGACAGGACATGCCCAGGTGGGGACTGGGCCTTCACAGCACAGCTCAAGTGTGGGTGCAGACCGTGTGTCCAGCTCAGAGCCAGGCCATCCAGTTCCCCCTGCCCACTTCCCCACCAGTGCTGGCTCCTCCATTCCCTCACCAGAGTCTTAGGGACTTGGGACATCTTTGGGGCCTCTGCATCTCCCCAACTCCTCTCCCTGCACCTCCAGGCCCCCAGCCTCAGCTCACATACCCCTGTGACAGTGCGCTTATTCTGCTAGAAGCTGGTCTGGCTGCTGGGTGCACCTGCTGTGGCGATCCTCCAGGCAGGCCCCACGCAGAAGCACCCACTTCAGCATCCCCTCTCCGTCCCCAATGACAGTGTGTACCTGAGCTCAGCCCAGCCCAGCTCTCAGTGCCCAGGACCCCTGAGGCTCAGATGGGCAGATCGGCAGGGGTACATGGAGTTCCCTCCGGGGTGTGGGCCCAGTGTGGGGAGAGGGGCCTGAGAACAGCCCAGGGTGGGCATCCACCTGGAGAGCATGTGGGTGGGGGTCCCATCTGCAAGATCCAGACCCACAGGGCTCTTGTCTCAGCCTGAAGGGGACCGGGAGGTAACAGCCCCTTCCCCCCAATCAACCACAAGGACACCCAGCTGGGCAACTCTGTGAGCTGGGTGGGGTCAGCCAGGTGGAAGTTGCTGCTAGGGGTTGCTGGGAGGAGAGGCATGGGCTGCCTTTCACGTGGGACTAACTCAGACCTCTCTCCCCGACCTGCTAGGACCCCTCCAGAGGCCACTGCTGAAGATGAAAAACACTACTGCCATTCACTGGGGGAGGTGATAATGTTGACTGCAGGCAGTTGGCTCAGGGAGGAGCCTTCTTGGGAATCCTACTCAGCCTGGATGGGGAGAAATCTGGGAGAGGCTGTGTGTGAGCAGGAAGTGCAGGGAAGACTTCCTGGAGGAGGGAGCCTGGCTTCCACTGCACAGGCCAAGGCACAGGGGCTGGGACCAGGGAAGGAGGTGTCTGGGCTAGGCCTCTCGCTTTATCTTGAGCTCTGGTTCACTGTGATAGGCTTATTGCTAACCAGGCCCAGCCCTCCCCAGCTCCAAACCCGACTGCCAGGCAGTCAGGATTCTTCTGCTCACCCAGCCACTCTCAGAGATGCAGACCCAGACCCTGGAGGGTGGGCCTGAAAGCTTCCAGGACCTTCTCTCCAGTGCAGATTCAGGGGGAACTGTCACTTCTCATCACTACGGAAGCCACACTACTTGTCACAAGCCACCAGCCACTACAGTGACACCCAGGCCCACTCTTATTCTTTGGGGTGCCATTTAAATTCACCCTGGATGCTGTTACCATGGGGCTTTGACAGCCAGGAGCAGAAGCAGTGGGACACAGCAGCCAAGCCTCACCTGGGGGCTGCAGACAGTTGGTGTCCTGTCCGTGTAGCTCCTCAAAGCTGCTCCAGGACACCAGGCAGGGGCTGAGGCAATGACCTGCCCAGGGAACGCCAAAGAACCATCTCCCTGCAATCACCCCCAGCACAGGGGAAACCTGCAGTGAGGCAGATGGTGGTGAACTCAAAGGCCCCTGAGCTGGGGGAGGTTGTTGGGTGGGGGCTTCACTCCCTGCCACCCTAGACACGATGGCCAGGGAGGGGTCAGGTGTGGGTGGGTGGTGGCTGCAGTGCCCTCCCTGCCTGCTGCAGGGGGATGCAGGTTGTCCAACACCATCCTGGGACTGGTCAGCCCTGGTGCCTCAGCCCAGTAGCAAGGAGTCCTCCAGGAGAGCCAGGAACCTCCATGGGAGGTGGGTGGAGGTGAGGCCCCTCCACGCTGTGCCCACCCCAGCCTCAGAAGGAGCTGCTGGCACTGTCCTCTCTTGAACAGCAGCACTTCTCCCAGACTCTAGGGAAGTAGCCACTAAGAGGCCCAAGAAACAATGGCTCCTTCCATGCAGGCCCCACACTCAGGCTCCCATTATCGCCCAGGCCCAGGTGGCGCTGCCCAGCCCTGTCAGGTCCCCATCAGGCTCAGGACCTCCTTGTCCCACCCTGGAGGGGGTGGCTGATGGAGAGCTGAGTGTGGGGGGTGCCAGGGGAGGGGGCCTGGGAGAAGTATTTCATCTCTGATGCCGGATGGTGGCACCAGGGTAGGAGGCACCGAGCTAGGTGTCATCCTGAGCACATGGCAGGTTTTAACTCCTTCAGACCTCATGACAGCCTATCACATGCATTTTACAGCAGGGAAAACTAAGGCCTGAGGGTCCCTGTGCCAACTGTGCTCCCACCCCAGGGACAGGTTGATGCAGGGGAGGCTAATGACAGCAGTGATGGAAGTCACTCTCAGCTAGAGAGAGGCCAACGCCCCTGGCCCACAAACTTCATGACTCAGTGCAGAGCCAGCACCTGGGGCTGCTGGGCCAGAACCCTAAGGGCTGTCTCCTCATGCTGAATTCCCTGCTGACCTCCAGATTGTCTAACCCCCACCCCTGAGGCCATCTGGACACTGGCAGCTGCTGCTAACCCACAGGCCCCTCTGTGGAGTCCCTGTTGGCCTGGCCTTGAACTCCTACCCATGGTGGAGATCAGGTGTGGCTTGCTCCAGGAAGCCTCTGGGCTCCTGGGGATTGGGAGAGTGGCCGGAGGTGACTCAGACCTCCAAAGTGGGCAGGAAGGTGGATGCCCACACTGGGCTGTTCTCAGGCTCCTCTCCCCACCCTGGGCTTCTAGCACAAGAATAAAGAAGGCTCCAGCAGCTCTTGCCTGGAAGAGACTGTGGTACCTCCTGTCCTTGGCAGTTCACAGAGGGAGGGGTTGCTGGGGGCTGCTGGCCCATGGCTGTTACTGACCGGGTCAGGGTGGGGATGGAGACGTCCAGGCCCTGCCATCTGAGGGGTGCAGGTGGGATCTGGCCCAGCTGCAGCATGGCCCTCTCCCAACCCCAGCCTGTCCTGTCCCTCAGTGAGCCCACACCCTGGAGTCAGAGCTGTGTTCTGTCCTCTGCGGAATCCAGTGGAGCCTGGACACAGCTGCCCGCTCCGTGTTGGGGTCGCCCTCGGCTGTCCCATGTCAGGGTTCCCTCATCTGCCCCCTTGTGCAGTGGCTCCTAGAGATCACTCTCACAGGCATTAGATGCATGGCTCAAGGTCGGCGCCAGAGCCCCTGGTGCAGTGACCGCTGTCCAGCCCACACGGGCCACCCTGGGGGGCTGCTGTGGAGCCTGCAGTAACAGAAGCCTCACTCCTTCAGACCCCCACTCCCCTCCCACACAGGCTGGCCACTGGGCTGGGGCTCATGGGCTGCCTGCCTTGTGCTAAAAATGGAACCCCAGACTTTCTGGCTTTAATAATACAATCCTGACCCCCCAGGGCCCTCCCCATTTCCTGGGAGCACCCCAAACATCTTCCATGGGAAAAATAGGACACAGAAACCCAGGCATCCAGGAGCCCAAAGTCTCACACCCAGGGAGCGAAGGGCTTGCCAAGGCTCTTACCCCAGTGCCCAGCACCACTGCCAGCATCCCACAGTACAATGGGGGAGATGCTGTTGGGTGTCCATTGGGAGCCAGCCCCAGGAGCACAATGTACAGCAGCACTTTCCTGTCGCCATGGCTATGCTGCAGCCATGAGTGACCAGGGCTCTTTCTGTCCAGGAGACACCTGTCCTGCCCCATATGCTCGCACTCTGCTCTCCCTGCCCACCCTACTCTGTCCTGGCCTGGGGTCCCCGAGCCACAGTGGCTCAGCCACCAGCCCCACCAGCTGCCTGCCCAAATGGATGCTCCCCAGGCCACCCAGACCCAAGGGACTGGAGAGAGCTCTTCTCCTGTCCATTCAACCACCCCTCAGCCTCCCTCCACCCTGCCCTGCACTTGGGGAGTCTCTGTGACCAGTCCCCCACACAAGGAACTCACAGGAATGCCCCTTTCTGTTCGGGGGCAGGACTGCTGGCATCAGGGAGCATTGAGGGAAGCACATGGAGAGGGGGACTGGGGTTCCCCATGACTGTGCCCCAGCAGCCCCCCACACCTTCCCCCACAGGGGATGCTCCCAGACACTTCTGAGCTGCCATGGGTGCCCATTTCACAGGTAGGGAAACCAAGGCTCAGATCCAGGGAGCTGCAGTATGTGTGCATCCACCTGTCTTTCTCCACAAGCCCCAGGAGCTCAGGGGCAACAATGGGGAGCCCCTGCACTGGTTGCCCCTACCCTGCCACAGGCCCACAGTCTCCCCCTGGGGATGTGGCTGCCCACCTGCAAAGCTGTGTCCTCATCACCCAGGTCTGAGCCGTGCAGAGCTGGTTCCAATGGCTGCAGGCACCACAGTCGCAGAGCTGGAAGAAACAAGCATCCTCCCCAGGAGTCTGCAGAGGGAGCGCATTTCTGCCCACACCTTGATTTTGGACTTGTGGCCTCCAGAACTGTGAGAGAATAAATTCCTGATGTCATAAGCCATCACTACAGCAGCTCCCGGACACTAATATTGCTCAGTCCGTCCAGGCTCCTCTCTCTGTTTGTTGCTGTTCTAGGTTTTTCTGAGACAGGGTCTGGCTCTGTCCCTCAGGCTGAAATGCAGTGGCACAATCATAGCTCACTGTAACCTCTATCCCCTGAACTCAAGCCATCCTCTTGCCTCAGCCTCCCCCACAGCTGGGACTACAGGCAGTGCTGCCATGGCTGGCCAACTTTTAAATTAGGTAACCCTTCCCAATAACTTTCACGATTAGTTAACATCTTCTACATTCCTATTTATTTTCCCCTTTTTAATACAAACATATGCCCATTAAATAAGCAAAATAGGGAAAAAAATTTAATCACCCAAAACCCTACCATCTACTTACCAGAGAGACAATAATGGCACAGGGATATAGTGCCAAATTACATTAATTTTGGTAATCCAAAGCAATAGAAAAATCTCCAGTTTTCAATTTATTCTTCTTAGATTTCTAATCAAGAAAACCTATTTTCTACACTAAAGCAAATATATACAAAAGGAAAAGACACACCTATGAAGCAAAGGGATGAACTGGAGTCCTAATGTTACAAGAGGCTGGTAGTCATTCATTTGTCATCACTGAGGTATTTTCAGAAAATAGCCATGGTTCCCAGAACTTTAACAAGCACAATAATCCACTCTTAGATACTTGAAAGTCAGATAAGAAGACATCTATCCCTTAACTAGTTGTTATACACTCTATGTAAATAAAACCATATAATTTTAATTTCCTCAATTAATTCTCACAGACAGTACCCAACCTCACATCACCATGATCTTTGACATGTCAATGTTTTATTGTAAATCGTGACAGTCTATCTACATAGAATACTCATGATTTACAATTTCAGATTGTCAACCCAGCCAGTAACCTACGTAGCACTGAATTCAAATACCAGAAAAAGGACCCAGATTCCCTCACCACCTAGCAGAGCTCAAGTGAGCTACACAGCCTGGTAGGGAATGGGGAGTAATTAAAAGGTTGTAAGCAGGTACTACTATAGTCAGATGAGTTTTTGACAGGTTATTCTAAAATCACTGAGAAAAGAAAACTGTTGTAGTATTCCAGATAAGATTATGTGGTCTGTAAAAGGACAGTGTCAAGGAAATAGAAAAGAACAATCAAGGAATTTCAAAGGGTAAACTGGATGTGATTATATATTACCACATCAAATGAACATCAGGCTCAAAGAAGGCACGGGGGAGCAGGAGGCTGCTTTCCCCAGGTACTCTCTTTCCCAGGCTTGCCCAGCAGTCCTGGCAACTGACATATATATATATGGAAACCATCATTCTGAGCAAAATATCGCAAGGACAGAAAACCAAACACCACATGTTCTCGCTCATAGGTGGAAATTGAACAATGAGAACACTCGGACACAGGATAGGGAACATCACACACCGGGGCCTGTCGTGGGGTGGGGGGAGGGATAGCATTAGGAGATATACCTAATGTAAATGATGAGATAGTGGGTGCGGCACACCAACATGGCACATGTATACATATGTAACAAACCTGCACATTGTGCACATGTACCCTAGAACTTAAAGTATAATAAAAATAAAAAATAAAAAAGTCTTCCTCAAGTTTATCATCAAAAAGTGCTACACATGATTTACAAGTATTTTCTTCCATCTTGTGAGTTGTCTTTTCACTTTCTTGATGGTGTCCTTTGAAGTGCAAAAATGTTTAATTTTGATGAAGTCCAATTCATCAATTTTTATTCTTGTTGCTGGTCTCATATTTAAGAAAACTTTGCCAAATTCAAGGTCATGACAATTTACTCCTATGTTTGCTTCTCAGGATTTTATAGTTTTAGTCCTTACATTTACGTGGATTAGCTCAAAATGGATCCATTTGATCCACTTTTTTTGCATCCATAGTTTTTGTATGTGGTGTTGGGTAAAGGTCCTACTCCAGGATTTGCATATGTTTACATATCTAGTTGTCCTTGTGAGAGTTCTCAAACTTCTTTCCCCACTGAATAATCTTGGCACCCTTGTCAAAAGCAGTGGTTATATATGTATGGGTTCATATCTGACTCTCAATTCTATCCCACTGGTCTATACATCTATCCTTCTGCCAGTATTATATTGTCCTGATTACCACTGACTTGTAGTAAGTTTTAAAGTCAGTAAGTATGAGTTCTCCTACTTTGTTCTCATTTTCAAAAGATTATTTTGGCTATTCCTAGTCCTTTGTAATTCCATATGAATTTCAGAGTCAGCTTGTCCATTTTACAGAGAACTCATCCGGGATTCTGACAGGGATGAAGTTAAATTTGTAGATGAGTTTAGGGAGTATTGCCTTCTTAACAATGTTAAGCCTTAGGTCCATGATCATGGGATACTTTTACATTTATTTAGATCTTCTTTCATTTCTTTCAAAAATGTTCTATAGTTTTCAGAGTACAAGTTTTACACTTCTTAAATATATCAGTATTTTATTCTTGTTGATGCTATGATAAATGAAGTTGCTTTCTTAATTTCATTTTCTGATTGCTCATTGTGAGTATGTAGTACTCAGTTAAAGTGTGTCAAATACTATTGATTTTTGTATATTGATCTTGTATCCTGCAACCCTGATGAACACAAGGGATTTGTGTCTGGCGTACATAAGGAACAATTACAATTCTGTAATAAAAAGACAAAACAACCCAATTAGAGATAGACAATTCAAGAATGGATAAACAAACTGCAATACATGCAAACAAATGGAATATTATTCTGCAATTTAAAAAATGAGCTATCAAGCCATGAAAAAGCACAGAAGAACCCTAAATGTATACTGCTGGGTGAAAGAAGCCAGTCTGAAAAGGATACATACTACATGATCTATTATATGACATTCTGGGAGAGGCAAAATTAGAGAGTAAAAAGATTAGTAATGACCGGGGGTTTGGGAGGAAGAGGAGGGGGAGGAATGACTCAGTGGAGCACAGGAGATTTTTAGGACAATGAAACTGTTCTACATAATACTGTAATGGTGGGTACATGACATTATACATTTGTCAAATCCAAAAATCTATAAAACACAGAGTGAACCCTGAAGTAAACTATGAATTTCAGATATAAGTATCAGTTCATCAAATCTAATCGATTTAGCACAGTAGCGCAAGGTGTTAAGAGTTGGGAGAACTGGGCAGGGGCACTGTAAGGGAGCATATGTGGACTCTCTGCACTTTTCTCTCTATTTTTTCTAAAACTGCTAAAAAAAAGTCTATTGTTTTTAAAATAAAATGATCCCTAGCAGGAAAAAAAAATGACAAAAGATCTCAACAAATATTTCCCCAAAGAAGATATACACATGGCCAATAAGCATGAGAAAAGACACTACCTTCAATAGGAAAATACAAATCAAAACCACAAGGAGATACAATTTCACATACATTATAATAGCTACAATTAAAAAGTCACACAGTAAGTGTTTGTGAAGATGTGGAGAAACTGAAATTTTAATACACTGCTGGAGGGAATAAAAAATAATGCAGCCATTTCAAAAAGTAGTTTGGCAGTTCCTCAATTAGACAGTTATATGCATCTGAGCAATTCTGCTCCTAGATAAACACCGAAGACAAATATCTACACAAAAACTTATACACCAATGTTTATAGCAGCATTATTCATAATAGCCAAAAGGGGTAAACAATGTCCTAAATATCCATCAACTGACAAGTGCATAAACAAAATCCAGTGTATCCATGTAACAGAGTATCATGTGGCCATAAAAAGTAAGTACTGATACATGTCACAGCATAGACAAACCTTGCAAGCATTATGCCAAGTGAAAGAATCCAGTAACAAAAGCCCATATGATAGATAATCCCATTTATATGAAACACACGCAATAGGGAATCCAGAGGCAGAAAGATTGGTGATTGCCAGTGCTACAACTGCGGGGGTGCAGATGATGTATGTGGAGAGACAGAATTGAAAGCTAAACGGCACAGGAGGCAGGGTGTTGTGGTCCATGCCTGTACTCCTAGCTACTAGGGAGGCTGAGATGGGAGGATTGCTTGAGCCCAGGAGTTCAAGGCTGCACTAAGCTATGATTACACCACTGTACTCCAGCCTGGGCTGGTCGACTGAGCAAGACCCCATCTCTTAAAATAAATAAATAAATAGAAAGAAAATAAGCTAAAGGGCATAGGATTTTTTTTTGAGGTGGAAAAACAATTCTAAAATTGATTGGAGTGTTGGTTCCCAACATCTGTGAATATACTGAAAACCACTGAACTATATACTTCGAGTGGGTGAATTACATGGCATGTAAACTGCCAATAAAGCTGTTTTAGAAATCCTAATATTTGCTGTGCTATAACTTCAGCAAAGTACTGCAGGGCAATAATTGCAGAGCCAACCCTATCATTACAGTATGACACAGGAAAACTTAAAACTGCACTTACGATCAAGCTATATGCAGAGCATATTAGCACACCAAAAATAAATGACTACACTAAAGACCCATCCTTCAAGGATTACAGAATTTAAGTGCTGAAAAGGAGAGTAAAACTACTCTGTTTTTTTAAAAAAGGTAAGAACTCACAACTTAATTAGTCACTTGTAAAATTCTGGATTGCTAAGAGATTTTCAGATATAATTTAAAAGAAAACACACGACCAAGACAATAATGAAAATCTATACGTAAATTTACTATTACCTTTAGCTTCTGAACGCACAGCCAAAAATCCATCTTCTGTCACTGCTTTAAACAAAGGTCTGACTCCTTATGTATCTCTGTCCAGGGACACTTTCTTATTGGCAGAATCCAGTAAAACAAATGCAAACACACCAACCAACGTACAAATTGTTTGCTCAATTCCTCCTTTGTCATAAAGATGAAGGATTATCTCACCATCCACTTTGGTCTGGTATTCAAATTCAAACTGGTGCTGCACCTTAGTAAGCAATAGCAAAACCAAGACATTATAGACTCCTTGTGCATCCACTAATAATTTTTATCACAAAGTTGCTTCAGTATTTCTGGAGCTTTAAAATCATTTCATGCACTTTGGTGATTTAGGAGAATCACAGCATTATCAACCTAGGGTTTGCTTCAACTCATAATTCTGCAAATTCTGTTCAACATAAAGCTGAACCCATGAAAGTTTTAGTTGCAGTCTGATAAACAGAATATAACGGGAATGTACCAGAATAGTAACCTGTAGAGGAATGGAAATTCATATTTTATACATACTATGTATGTGATACATAAATATTTTATATATGCAGATTGAGTATCCCTTATCTGAAATGTTTGGAACCAGAAGTGTTTAGGGTTTCGGAATTTTTTTTTGGATTTTATAATATTTGCATCTACGTGAGATATCTTGGCGATGAGACCCAAGTCTAAATGTGAAATTCACTTATGTTTCATATATCTTATACACATAGCCTACAGGTAATTTTATATAATATTTCAAATAATTTTGTGAATGAAACAAAGTTTGTGTACATGGAACCATCAGAAAGCAAAGGTGTCACTATCTCAGCTTCCATGTGGAAAATCTGTGGCTGTCTGACATCACTGACCATCATTTCTGACTCTGAATTTATATGCTACTGATGAGCAATCATTTTCACACAATTATTCACACATAAGTAAAAATATGACATGCCATTAATACAGTAAAAAATAATAAGCAACACAGTAGCATCACCAGAATACCTGCATCAGCTGTTAAACAGCTGTATAAACAATGGCAAGCTTTCAGGCTCCACCTACAAGGCTGCGTTTTGATTAAAAGGTTACTGTACATTGTATTTTTTTTCTTTTTTTAGGTGAGAAGAAATATCAGGAGTTGAGCAACTAGGAGGTGAGTCCTCTGAGGCTGAGGAGGCATTCTGCCAGATGGTTTTTTATAATGTTTCTCCAGAGTCATCTGCCTCATTATCAAGGGCTTTTGTCTTGGAAGTCTCTCTTTAATTTTATAAACTGACATGACCTCTTGTTCTGTTATGAATGCAGGTAGCTCTAGTCCTTCAATATCTTCAATATCTCTATCACACATTTTCACCATGTCATCTATACCTTTACACTACAGTCCAATTTCTCCAACAGCTTGACTTTCTGTGTTCTAAGTGTTTCTACTTTTCCTTATCATTGCTGCTCGCAGGGATATCTACAGGCCTTATTGACATTTTCAGTATGCTAACACCACAGAGCAGAGAATAAGAAAAATACACAACGAGTCATGCACTTAGGTCCCATCTGTGGGGATCCTGCCATTGGCTTGTCCAGCTTGCACATGTGCCATTCTGTGACCCTTTGTGTGTGTGCTTGCATGGGGAAATCTGAGCATGTGTAGAAAAGTTATACTGCAGCTGAAGGGGGCTGAGAGGGTCTTTTTTCATTAGAGAACATCAAATAAACTGTGTGTTGTTCACCTGCACTTTGACTAGGACATCAAAATCCACATGTGGTGTCATGTCAGTGCTCAAAAAGTTTCAGATTTTGAAGCATTTCAAATTTCAGATTTTCAGATTAGGGATGCTCAACCTGTAAATTTAATTTAAGGTAATATGTTGCTTGGTTGCCGTGACACTAAAAAACGTGTCTTCTGCAACTGTCAACTTTTGGTTTAAGAAGACAGTATTGGCTAAGAAGTTCCTCCAGTTCAGCTTCAAAGACCTAGCTATAAAAATGTAAAGCAAAGGGACAAACATCATTTGGCGTCATTCCCTGAAAAATAAATGGCTCCATCACAATAACAGATACATGATCCAAAACAAAGCTGCTTGTCCTCAGGTGAGGACGACAACGCCCAGTGCTCCCACCACTGCAGTAGCATTAAAACTACTGCTCACTGAGAGATAAAATGATGGTGGCACTTTATTAGTCTGCATGCCCCAAAGGAACAGCAAAGGGACTGTCTGCCACTGCATGCAGAGCAAGAAAGTTTGATTAGGCTACTCACCAATTCTGACACTCTCCAGCATCACTGGCAAACTATGAGGATGAAAAGTCCTTGATGTATTTCTCTTTGTATGTCATACTCACATTTTTGGCTGACATTAGAGAAATAAGAGGTTTAAATCAGGTGGGAATCCTAGGTTAAGTTTAAAACATGTTTTGAAATCTCAAAAAGTAAACCTATTATGTATGTGCACGACCCATAAATACGCTTCACACTCCATCCAGCTCACTGCATAATTTGTGAACCTTTTATCTGTAAGCCCTCAATGAACTGTCCAAAAATGGGCTTTGCCTCCAGTGACTATAAAGTCACTACCTGGTCACCCCTCTCTGCTCTATCAGGGATGATCTGTAACTAGCAGGTGGGGTCTGGAAACAGTCTTCTGCTGACTGTCCTGGGCTGAACTGCCTGAAGGGTAAGTCACTTACCACTTACTTTATGGTCACTTACCATAAAGCATGGAAAACTGTCATTAGCTGAAAAAAATAAACCCAGCACCTAGGACAATAAATACATGCCATACACTCCCAAATAGATGACGAGTCTCCAATTTGTTTTCTGCCTCTTAGGAGCTTATAAAACTAAAGTTCACAATTAATGGGGAAGGGAGGAGACAGATGATCTTCATTGCCTTAGTTATAAACTTGCTTTGGTCTATGGTGATCCTGTGTTAAACTGTGAAATAGAATCTATCATCCTGGCTCTCTGAGGCCCTTGACTTCACCCTTTTAGTGCTTTTCTTACTTATTTTCAAACCTTCACCTCTCTCACATTGAAAACCCCAACTCTTAATACCCTCTCTAAAAAACTACCCCTTCCCACCAACCACCACCACCACCGACCTCACTCTATCATCTAAATCTGTTTCAAGATATAAAAATCTTGGTAATTTAGATCTTAACACAAATTGCCTACTACCTTTTCAAAAAGCAAGTTAAGCCTGATTCTAATTGTGGGATGAAAAGTTTTTTCCCTAGGAAGAAATTTTAAATATCATCAAGCATGTTGAGAGGTGCTAGCGAGGGCATGGAGCAAGGAATCAAATTCCATAGGTGATTGTTTTCTCTATCTTTGTATAAAAATGTCCTTGCCCCAATTAAAGCCTCCACCAAGTATAAAAAGAAAGCGTTTGGTGATATTAGCAAGCAACAGTTTCCCAAATCTACCTTGCCCACCTCTTTGGCCTAAACTCTGCAGGTAATTTATTCTAAAAAGAGAAGTGTCCTTTGGGTAACAGATGTATCACTTCCTACTCTCTTAAACCAAACTCCGATGCTGCATCTTAGATAAAAGCCCTCAAATCTGGCCTCCTGAAGTCATGCTGTCATTTAACTTGGCTGCAGACCCCTGATACTCCCCTGCAGGGAGAGAGTCTGCTCTTTGCCCCAGCCTTTACCCCATTCCTACTTTCTTTAACTCAGTCCCCCTCCACTCCCAGCACACCTCTGGCTGTATTTTATTATTAGTAGTAAGCTTTATTTTTATCAAAAAGGGGGTAGGGGGTATTTTTGACCTTATGTTGCAGAATACTTTATATAAGCCTAAAATATGCATTCTGTTCATTAGATTTCTAGCTGCCCCAACTACATAAGCTGAGATGCTTGGTAGAAGCAATGGAACAAACTTCTCTAGTTTTACAAATATAACTTTTGACTAATTTAGAACAGAAATTAATTAATTTCAAAATATTTAACTTATTTTAGCTTTTTAGAAAAAAAAACACTATCTGAGTAAAACAGAGCACTTCCTATTTCATTTAAGGAGAAAGCCAAGCTGATAATGCCATCATACTACCTAGCTTTCTCATGCATATGACACTGATTTGACTTAGAAAGAAAAAAGTTTTAATACTCTCTTCTACTTCCCACTAGCAGGAAATTCCATTCTTGCCTTTCCTTTTCACCATTTCATCTACAATCACCTAGAAAAATGATATCTGGTGCATATTAGGTCCTTAATAAAGGAATAAAGAAATGTGTGAAAGGAATTTCTTGAATAACTATTTTAAAACTTTTTGAACAAGAAGACTATTATTAAGAGTGTTCCCGTGAGCAGGCAACAAACAATGACAAAAGCTATTATTCAGAGATAAAAATGTCCAAAACATGGTTAGGATATAACTCTCTATCAGTGCCTGACAGGTATCTATCAAGAAGTCTCAGAAAAAATACCAAGAAACATCACAACCAAATGCATGAATCTTGAATGAAATCTGGCTCTAAACAAACAAATACCAGCTATAAAGATATTCTTGGTAGCACTTTGAGGGGCCAAGGTGAGCAGATTCCCTGAGCTCAGGAGTTCCAGACCACCCTGGGCCCAGTCTTTACTAAAATACAAAAAATTAACCAGGCATGGTGACAGGTGGGCCTGTCGTCCCAGCTACTCAGGAGGCTGAAGAAGGAGAATTGCTTGAACCCAGGAGGCAGAGGTTGCAGTGAGCCGAGATCGCAACACTGCACTCCAGCCTGGGTGACAAAGTTGAGACTCTGTCTCAAAAAACAAAAAAATTCTCCAGACACTTAGCGAAATTTAAGTATTAACTGGATATTAGGTGGCATTATGATTTTTTTTTTTCATTTTTGAGACAGAGTCTTGCTCTGTCTCCCAGGCTGGAGTACAGTGGCTGAAGCTTAGCACACTGCAAGCTCCACCTCCCAGGTTCACACCATTCTCCTGCCTCAGCCTCCCGAGTAGCTGGGACTACAGGTGCCCACCACCACGCCTGGCTGATTTTTTTTATTTTTGTATTTTTAGTGGAGATGGGGTTTCTCCGTGCTAGCCAGCATGGTTTCAACCTCCTGACCTCGTGATCCACCCACCTCAGCCTCCCAAGGTGCTGGGATTACAGGCGTGAGCCACCGCACCCAGCCAGGTGATATTATGGATTCTTAGGTTTAATAATGGTATTGATGTTATGTAGAAAAATGTCCTTATTCTTAGGAGATAAATGCTTATATATTTAGGAGTGTCACAAAATCTGCACCATACTCTCAAATGATTTGGCAAAAAACTGTGTGTGTGTGTGTATGTGTGTGTGTGTGTGTGTGTGTGTAGAAAGAAAAATCAAGCAAATATGGCAAAACATTAATGATTATTCAATCTAGGTGCTCACTATTCTGTTCTTTTCTGTATGTTAGAATTTTTTTCAAAACAAAAAGCTGGGGAGAAGGAGAAAAAATTCTAAGAGTCAAAGAAACTGTGTAATCCCCATTTTTATCACTTTTTTGTGACCAAGTGATTTCACTCACCATTTTATTCATCAGTTCCCTATCTACATACTTAGAGCAAATGAGATAACATAGAATGCTTTGCAAAGTAAAAAGCATGATACAGAATATATAATCTCATCGTAACCAACAAGCTCTGAAGTTTAATCACATCCACACATCTGGCTTCTTTTCCCCTACCTTCTTATGGTTGTAGATTTCACCATTGTAACAGAGCCACATATATGGATATGTCTTCACTTAAATTGTCTGCATTCCAAACAGCGGGTCCACTACCACCAATGGGTGAAATCCAAAGCAGCAGCTGGTGTATCCATTAACATTCTCAAAACAGGATGCATCTGGACCCCTGTGTGCAATCTTCATAGCACACAGACACTAAACAGAAAGGCAGTCATTGCTGTCAAACAGGACCCAAATGCCACACACAGTGCAATGAAGCTATAAGCTCCCTATGGAGAGAAAAGTAGACAAATCAAAAATATTCAATATCCAATCCAAGTCCGCGTTAAATCTTGATTCCAGAAACGTGCATAAACCACTTCAAAGACTAAAATTTAAACCATCTTTTCTATAGCGATTTCCCATTTGGTTGGCAGGCATACAGGAGTAAAGAATGATTTAATTTACTTACAAATATTCAGAAAAGATAGTGACCTCTACATTCAACCAGCTACAGCAGCTTAGCACCCAGCCAAAGGCTGCATCTCTCCCACCTTAAGATTTAGTGGTTGGCTAGAGTTAGCAGCATCCAGGCCACATCTATCTCTGCATTCTAAGTTTGCTTCCAAGATAAAGATACAAATGCAGGCTGGCTCCAACCTAGCCAGAGATCCCAGCCCCACTCTCTGCATCCCAAAATCCCTCAAAGACTCAAGAGACTTTCCAGATTTCTACAGTCTCCTCACAGGTTCCCTTGACAGTTAAATGCCCTCTCTTTACCTCAACTAGCTGCAGGTAGAATATAATGGGCACAAGAGAAAATCACTGTAAGTGTAATATGAAGATACACAGCCCTTTTAAGCATTTCATTATATTACATCTAGCTTACTTCTAAGGGATTTATTCAGATGTGACTGAAGAAAGTCTAAAGGGAAAAAAAGCAATTTAATTTGATAAATTAAATTATCAATTATAGCCAAATTATTTGGCTATAACAAATTAAACATTTTAAGCTGACAGAAGATGCAAACATTTTAAGTTGACAGAAGATATAAAATGTTCACTATCAAAATGTCACAACTGATAAAAATGTTCTCAAATATTTCTGTCTCAAACTTGCATTGTTCATTAAGGAAGCAAAATAGGTGGGACATACACAGCAACAACATACCTCAAAAAACAACTTGGCTCATTCCTATAAGCCAGGCAGCAAATACATCATCCTTACATATGTTAATTACCTTCCAATTTCAAATTCTCAACTGTGAAATAAAGGGCCATTTTATTTGTCTGCTGCCAGTACAATATGACTGTTTTTATTAAAACATCTCTAACTTGAGAAATATTTGGTGTTTTCTAAAAAACTGCAAATTGCAGCAAATGGCCAGATAATTTGGAATAAACACCCTACAGAAAAAATATATATTCAAGTTGCATAAGTCACTTTGAGCAATCCTTTGTGGATATTTCATTTATATCTAAATGAACCACAGGTTTAGCTGGCTTTTCTGGAAAACCAGAAGCAAATAATGTATGATTATAATGAAAACCATCTCAAGCAATTTGGAAATGAAGTACCACATGTCCTATGCTGTCCCTTCCATAAACTTGACAAAACAGCCTATAACAAATTGTTTACTTTGAGATTTAGTAGGAAAATTCCATGAGATTTAAATGAGATGACTACTAATAAGCCATCTACATTTGACTCTATTCCAATTAAAAATGGGTTAGGAAAGTGCTTTGAATATCAAGTGTGTTCATCAGGGAATCATTTACCTAAGTCTTCCTAACACTGTTTAGTGAATATTAAGCCTGATGTAGTAAATACACGCTAACCACTAAATTGAAGGGGAAAGAGGGAGAACAAAGAGGCATGTAAAGTACACTTACTTCTTCTAGTAGGAAAAAGCCAATTAAAACTATCACCTATTAGTTTTATTGGAATCAGTCTTACAGGAGGTCAAACTTCCTACTGTCGCTACCTATTCTCAATATTTTTCTTATTTCTTCCTAAACTTCTAGAGCTGTGCTGTCCAATAAATATGTGAGCCACGTATGTAATTTTAAATGTACTAGTAAGCCCCATTAAAAGAAAAGGTGAAATTAATTTTAAATATACTTAACTCAGTATGTCCCAAATAGTAATCATAGTAATAATTTTAACATGTAATAAATATAAAAAAAATCAAGCAGATATTCTACACTGTTCTTCCCACTCCAACGACAAAATCCAGTGTATTTAACACAACACATCTCAATTAGGACTAGCCAGGATTACAAGTGCTCAACAGTTACAGGTGACTAGCACCTACTGAATTGGACACTGCAGTTTCAGTGCATTGAATTTCTATCCCACTTAGCGCTAATTAAAACTTCACCCTCTCACCTGACAATGATGCTAAGATCTCAGTAAGTAACCAACTACAGGCAGTTTCAAGCCCTACTTTACCTCTAATTACTCTTACAGCAATGCAATGAATCATGATTTAAAATTAAAAAAAAAACTGCTGTTAAATTATTAGTCAAGTGCCCAGGGCAATGGACAGTAAAGAAATAATGTAGGCCATGGGCCGAGATGACAAAACGGTCCTTTTATTTAAAGCTATAATAATCTGAAGCCAGCCCTGTAAAATAGACATCCATTGAAAAAGGCATGCTAGTTCTTTTGCTTTTTTGTGTACTTGGCCTCCTGTGTCCCTAAACAGATCTCTTCTCAGCAGAGTTTGCTCAGCAAGTCACTTGATGAGTCTTGCAGTCTACAGAGGGGGTAGGGAATGGCAGGAGTTGGCATAGGAGTGAGAGGGGAGGAGGCAAGGTGAGGGGGGCCAGGTGAGGAGGGTGGCACTTGAAGGGGAGTTCAAGACTAGCCTGGGCAACATGGTGAGACCACTGCCCCTCACCACCGCCATCTCTGTTCTCACTCTGGTCTCACACACATGCACAAATTAAATTTAATTTAAAAATTAAAAAATTGTTTTAAAATAAGTGAAGTATTTACATGGATTATGTATACATTCATTTTGTAGAACTATAGATCCCATGTAACTGGGAACTCTTTACTCTTCTAACACAACATTTATTTAGCCACAAATAAAAGAAGACCAGTGATGTAGCCTGTACACAAAAAAGTAAGAAAACACTGGTTAGGCTGGGGCAGGGGTGGGGGGAAGAGATCTACAAAATTAAAATTTTATTGGGAAGCATCACTAATTAGAATCAGAACAATTACTGCTTTAAAGTAGTTAAGAACAGAGCACAAGGAACCCAGAGAAGAAGCAGATATGATTCAGAGCAGAGCTCACAGAGCAGATGGTATCTGAGCTGAGACTGATAGAATAACATTAATAAGGACATTCACAGCCATTTATTATCACTTAACTGCAATGTATTTTGTATAAGTTATTTCTACTCTTCATATCAACCATGGAAAATAATACTTATTCTTTTCTTTTGAAGTTAAGGAAGTGGTAAGTGGTCTAAGAAGATAAATTAACATACTAACACCAAATAGCTCAAGTTCAGTGACTCAAGAGTGCCCGCGTCACTCCAAGAGGTTGCTCAGCAGGCAGACGAGGTAGAGAGCCCTTCCAAGAAGTGACAGTGAGATGTGAAAGGTCTCAGTGTGTCTCTGAGAACAACAGAAACCAGTAAGTAGACCAAGTGAGAAAAGCCATGAAAGAGGCAGGGATTTCCTCTTAAGATAGCAAGAATAAACAGAGCAGGGCTGAGGGAAGCCATGGAAAATGGGCAGAATACCATGCATTTAGTGAGAAAAAAACAACTTTTACTTTAGAAAGGGGGAAAGAATGGTGGTGGTCTAGGTAAGCCTAGAAGCAGAGGAAAGGGCAGTGGAGGAAAAATATACAAAATGTATTAGTCAGGTTTCTCCAGAGGGACAGAACCAACAAGATACACGTATATGTATAAGGGAGTTTACCAGAGAGAATTGGTTCACACGGTTAGAAGGCAGTCCCACAACAGGCTGTCTGCCAGGTAGGGAAAGAGAGAAGCTAGTAGTGGCTCAGTCCAAGTCCAAAAGCCTCAAAACCAGGAAAGCCCGCAGTGCAGTCTTCAGTCTGAGGCCGGGGGCCTGAGAGCCTCGGGGAAGCCACTGGTGCAAGTCCCAGAGTCCAAACGTATAAGAACCTGGAGTCTCATGTCCAAGGGCAGGAAGAAGGGAAGCAAGTTTCCTGCACGGGAAGAAGAAAAAAAGAGAGCCAGAAGCTTCAGCTAGCAAGGTTATCCCACCTTCCTCCGCCTGCTTTGTTCTATACAGTGCAGCGTGTGTACACCACTTCTGTGATATTGTTTCTAATATCCATGGGAAGAAAGGGTGATGTTACTCCCAATAGCGCATGGGGGTGTACATCCCCTGTGATATTATTCCTAGTATGCAGGGGCAGGGAAAGGATGACATTACTCCCAATATCGCAGAGGGTGTTCTCCCCGCCTTGTGATATTGTTCCTAATATTTAGGGGATAGTGGGTGATATTACTCCCAATATCACAGGGGGTGTGCAGCCCCCGTGGTATTCTTTCTAATATCCGGTGGGGGGAGAGGTTGATATTACTGTCAATGACACAGGGGGTGTACATCCTCCCATGGTATTGTTCCTAATATCTGGGGGGGAGAGGATATTACTGTCAATATCACAGGGGTTGTAGACCCCTTCGGTGATATTGTTACTAATATCTGGGGGAGAGAGGATGATATTACTGTCAATATCACAGGGGGTGTACACCCCCCCGTGGTATTGTTCCTTATATCCCCAGGGGGGGAGAGGAAATTGTCAGTATCACAGTGGGTGTACACCTCTTCTGTGATATTGTTCCTAATATCCAGGGGGGTAGAGGATATTACTGTCAATATCGCAGGGAGTGTACAACCCTTCTGTGATATTGCTCCTAATATCCAGGTAGGGAGAGGATCATATCACTTTCAATATCACCAAGTGTGTACATCCCTCTTGTGATATTTTTCCTATATTTAGGGGATAGTGGATTATATTACTGTCAATATCACAGGGGCTGTGCACCCCCCCATGGTATTGTTCCTAATGTCCAGCAAGGGATAAAACACTACTACTCCCAGTATGGCAGGGGGTGTACAAGTCCTATGCGATGCTGTTCCTGTATCCATGGGGGAAAATGATATTGGGAACAATATTACAAACAATATCACAGGCGGGTGTACGTGTCCTGCGATATGAGGAGTAATATAACCCTCTCCCCATCTGGATATTACAAACTGTATCACAGAGGGGTGTAAACCCCCTGGGATGTGGAAAGTAGTATCATCCTCTCCCCTACTGGATATTACAAACAATATCACAGATGGTGTACACATGAGGTGTTTACGATATTGGGAGTAATATCATATCTCCCAGTGGATATTATGAACAATATCACAGAGGGGTGTATACACACTCTGCCTTATAGGGAGTAATATACTCCTCTCCCACCCTGGATATTACGTCACAGGGAGGTGTACATCCCCTGTGATACAGGGAGTAATATCATCCTTTTCCAGCCTGGATATTACAAACAATATGGCAGGGGGCAGTACACCCTGGCGATATGGGTAGTAACATCATCTCCTCCCCGCGTGGATATTATGAACAATATTCTAGGGGGTTGTACACACCCTGCAATATGGGGAGTAACATCGTCCTCTCCCCCACTAGATATTATAAACAATATCGCAAGGGGGGTGTACACTTCCTGCAATAAAAGGAGAAATATCATTCTCTCCCCCCAGAGATATTATGAACAATATCGCAGGGATTTGTTCTCCCATGCTATATGGGGAGTAATATCTTCATCTTCCCCCTGGATATTATGAAAAATAACGCAGGGGAATGTAAATCCCCTGCGATATGGGGAGTAAAATCATTCTCTCTGGCTAGGCGCGGTGGCTCACACCTGTAATCCCAGCACTTTGGGAAGCCGAGGTGGGTGGATCACGAGGTCAGGAGATCGAGATCATCCTGGCTAACATGGTGAAACCCCGTCTCTACTAAAAATACAAAAAATTAACCGGGCGCGGTGGTGGGCGCCTGTAGTCCCAGCTACTAGGGAGGCTGAGGCAGGAGAATGGTGTGAACCTGGGAGGCGGAGCTTGCAGTGAGCCAAGATCAGGCCACTGCACTCCAGCCTGGGCGACAGAGCGAGGGTCTGTCTCAAAAAAAATAAAATAAAATCATTCTCTCCCTCCCTGGATATTATGGTGGGAGCGCGAGCGGGCTCGGGGGTTGCCAGGCAGCTGCTGCCTGCACACAGAGGGCGACTGCAGCTTGGGCGCCCAGGCGGCGGAGCATGGTCTGGGTGGCCTCTGGAATGCGTGAGCGCCAGACCTGAGGATCACCCTGGTGGAGCCACCTACCCCGGTCTTCCTCTGCTGGAGCCTGGAGCAGCTGGAATGGCCACTATTCAGTCACAGGGGATAGAGTTAAGTTTTCTTATCCCACACATGCACACAAAAAGGTAACTATTCTGTGAGGTAATAAACATGTTAATTGACTTCATTCATGCCGCTCTGCACCCACAAGTAAGGGTTTCATAACAATGACACAGAAAATAAATGTTGCTAAGGAGGTGGAGAAGTTGGAGCCCTCATGAACTGGCTGCTAGGAATAGAAAATGATGCCCTTGCTGCAGAAAACAATTTGGTTGTTCCTCACAGAATGAGCATTGGGTGAAAAATGAAATCAAGATGGAAATGTAAAAAATTTATTCGAACTGGATGACACAACCTATCAAGACCTCTGGGATACAGCATAGGCACTGCTAAGAGCAAACTTTGTAGTCCTAAAAACCTACGTCAAAAAGTCTGAAAGAGCACAAATAGACAATCTAAGTTCACATCTCAGGGAACTAGAGAAGCAGGAACAAGCCAAACCCAATCCCAGCAAACACAGGAAATAACCAAGATCAGAGCAGAACTAAATGAAATTGACACAACAACAAAAAATACAAAACATAAATAAAACAAAAAGTTGGTTATTTGAAAAGATAAATAAAATTGATAGACCATTAGCAAGATTAACCAAGAAAAGAAGAGAGAAAATCCAAATAACCTCACTAAGAAATGAAACAGGGGATATTACAACTGACACCACTGAAATAATAAAGATTATTCAAGGGTACTATGAACACCTTTTGGCACATAAACTACAAAACCTAGAAGAGTTGGATAAATTCCTGGAAAAATACAACTCTCCTAGCTTAAATCAGGAAGAATTAGATACCCCAAGCAGACCAATAAAGCAAGCAGCAAGACTGAAATGGTAATTTTAAAATTACCAGCAAAAAAAGCCGAGGACCAGACAGATTCACAGCAGAATTCTACAAGACATTCAAAGAATGTCTTCTTTCATTCAAAGAAGAAATGATACCAAACTTTTCATACTATTCCACAAGACAGAGAAAGAAGAAACCCTCCCTTATTCATTCTATGAAGCCAGCATCACCCTAATACCAAAACCATGAAAGGACATAACCAAAAAAGAAAACTACAGACCAATATCCTTGATGAACGCAGATGCCAAAATCCTTAACAACATACTATCTAACTGAATCCAACAACATATCAAAAAATAATCCACCATGATCAAGTGGGTTTCATACCAATGATATACGAGTGGTTTCACATATGCAAGTCAATAAATGTGATACACCAAATAAACAGAATTAAAAAAATCTAATATGATTATATCAACAGGTGCAGAAAAAACATTTGACAAAATCTAGCATTGCTTTATGATTAAAGCTCTCAGCAAAATAGGCATACAAGGGACATACCTTAATGTAATAAAAGCCATCTATGACAAACCCACAGCCAACATAATACTGAATGGGGAAACAGTGAAAGCATTCCCTTTGAGAACTGGAACAAGACGAGGAGCCTACTCTCACCACTCCTCTTCAACATAGTACTGGAAGTCGTAGCCAGAGCAATCAGACAAAAGAAGGAAATAGAGGAAATCCAAATCGGTAAAGAGGAAGTCAAACTGTCACTTGTTGCTGATGATATGATCTTTTGCGTAGAAAACCCTATGGACTCCTCTAGAAAGCTCCTAGAACTGATAAAAGAATTCAGCAAAGTTTCCAGATACAAGATTAATGGACACAAATCAGTAGCTCTTCTATACATCAACAGCTACCAAGCAGAGAATCACATCAAGAACTCAACCCCTTTTACAATAGCTGCAAAAAACAACAACAACAACAAAAAACTTAGGAATATACCTAGCAAAGGAATCAAAAGACCTCTACAATGAAAATTACAAAACACTACTGAAAGAAATCATAGATGGAGCCAAGAACGGTGGCACATGCGTATAATCCGAGCTACACGGGAAGCTGAGGCAGGAGAATCGCTTGAACCCGAGAGGCAGAAGTTGTAGTGAGCCGAGATCACACCATCGCACTCCCACTTCAGCGACAAGAGCGAAACTCCCTCTGGAAAAAAAAAAAAAAAAAAAAAAGAAAGAAAAGAAGTCATAGATGACAAAAACAAATGGAAACGCATCCCCATGCTCATGGATGGGTAGAACCAATATTGTGAAAATTACCATTCTGTTAAAGGCAATCTACAAATTCAATGCAATCCCCATCTGAATGCCACCATCATTCTTCACAGAATTACAAAAACAATTCTAAAATTAATATGGAACCAAAAGAGAGCCATGTAGCCAAACCAAGCCTTAGCAAAAAGAACTTGGAGGTATCACACTACTTGATTTCAAACTGTACAATAAGGCCATAGTTACCAAAACACCAATGTACTGGTTTAAAAATAGGAACATAGACCAATGGAACAGAAGAGACAATCCAGAAATTAACCCAAATACTTACAGCCAACTGATCTTCGAGAAAGTAAACAAAAACATAAAGTGGGGAAAGGACCCCCTTTACAATACATGATGTTGGGATAATTGGTGAGCCACATGTAGGGGAATAAAACTGGATTCTCATCTCTCATCTTATACAAAAATCTACTCAAGATGGATTAAGAACTTAAATCTAATTCCTGAACTATAAAAATTCTAGAAGATAACACTGGATAAACCCTTCTAGACATTGACATACTCAAGGATTTCATGACCAAGAACCCAAATGCAAATACAATAAAAACAAAGATAAATAGCTGGGACTTAATTAAACAGCTTTTGCATGGCAAAGGGAACAGTCAGCAGAGTAAATAGACAACTCACAGAGTGGGACCCCTGAACCTGACCCTGACCCCTGACCCTGACCCCTAACCCCTGACCCCTAACCCCTGACCCTAACCCTAACCCCTAACCCTAACCCTTAACCCTTAACTGTAACCCCTAAGCCTAACCCCTAACAACAACCCTCACCCTCACACTAATCCAACCCTAACCCCTTATCCCTAACCCCTAACCTCTCTTAACCCTTAACTCTAAACGTTGACTCTTAACTCCTAACTCTGACCCCAACACCTATCTCCAACCCCTAACCCTAAACTTAACCCCTAACCCCTAACCCTAACACCAACCTTAACCCTAGGTTCGTTACTACGTTTGTATTGACTATGTCAATGTTGATTATTATGATCTGTCTTAGGACTGCATGGCAGCAAGGGGATTGCGGATCTTATATTAATATTTTTGTATTGAGGCAGTGCATTAGCATTACAGGTGCTTGTTACATGAGCAATGGGCGTGTCATATTTTGGGTGTCATGTCCGCATTAGGAATGCTGCATTTGTCTTCTGAGGCTGCGGTGTGGATCTCGCACTGCGGCGCCTCGCCTTGGCTGGGGAGAACCTCGGTGGGTAGGATTCAGAGGGGCTTTTGGTTTCCCTTTTCCACACTGAACCCTTCTTACTGGTCGCTGACCCTGATTACTCAGGGCTGCAAACAGGAAGGATTTTATTCAGCGTCTATGCGGCCCCGAGTTGTCCCAAAGCGAGGCAGTGCCCCCAAGGTCTGTGCTGAGGAGAACGCTACTCTGCCTTCGCGGTGTCCCCCGGGTCTGTGCTGAGCAGAACGCAGCTCCGCCCTCACGGAGACCCCGGCCTGCCCAGGTCTGTGTTGAGGAGAACACTGCTCCGCCTTTGCTGTATCTCCGAAGTGTGTGCAGAGGAGAACTCAGCTCCGCCCCGGCGATGCTCTCCGTGTCGGTGCTGGGAAGAACGCAGCTCCGCCCTCGCAAAGTTGCACAGCGCCGGCGCAGGCGCAGGGGGGTGGGGGCCCCACAGCGCCGGCGCAGTCGCGGGGGGCGGGGGGCCACAGCGCCGGCGCAGGCGCCGGGGGGTGGGGGGGCCCACAGCGCCGGCGCAGGCGCAGGGAGGCCCACAGCGCCGGAGCAGGTGCAGAAAGTCAGAAGGTCCATGAGGGGAAGGTGAGACACCTGGGGCAAAGAAAAAAAAAATGCGCCGCGAAGCGGTGTCTGGGTCATCCACAGACGAAAGTTTTTTCCCATCAGCCCTTGCGCTGCGCCCCAGGGACCCTGGCATCCCTGGTTCACGCCCAGGGTGCGCCTCGGGCGACTAGGGGTACCCCAACTCGGACAGAAGCCCTATGAGTGGAAGTTGAAGTTTGTGGGAGGAGAGGTGAGGCACCAGGGGCAGAAAAAAAAAAAAAAGAGGACCGCGCCTCAGAGAAGTGGGGCCTGGGTCCACCACAGATGAAAGTGCCTTCCCATCAGGCCCTATGCTGGGCGTGGTGGACCCTGGCGACCCTGGTTCGAGCCCAGGTTGCGCCTCGGGACCGCTTGGGGTACCACAAAGCGAACAAAAGGTCCATGAGGGGAAGGTGAGGCACCTGAGGCAGAGAAAAAAAAACGTGCCACCAAGAAGCAGTGCCTGGGTCCCCCACGGATGAAAGTGCCATCCCATCAGCCCCTTCGCTGGGCCCTGGGGACCCTGGCATCCCTGGTTTGACCCCAGGGTGCACCTCGGGCCAGTAGGGGTACTGCAAGGTGGGCAGAAAGCCCCTAAGGGGATGGTGAGGCACCTGGGGCAGAGAAAAAAAAAAAAACTTCGCCGCGGAGAAGCACGGCCTGGGTGCCCCACGAACGAAAGTGTCTTCCCATCAGTCCCTGCACTGGGACCGGGGACCCTGGTGTCCCTTGTTCGAGCTCAGGGTGTGCCTCAGCCGCTAAGTGAACCCCAAGGGGGGCTTTGGGCGCACAAAGCCCATGAGGGGAAGGTGAGTTTTGAGGGAGGAGAGGTGAGGCACCTGTCACAGAAAAAGAAAGAAAAAACCCGCGCCGTGGAGAGGTGGGGCCTGGGTCCCCCACGGATGAAAGTGCCTTCCCATCAGCCCCTGTGCTGGGTACCGGGGAACCTGGGGTTCCTGGTTTGAGCTCAGGGAGAGCCTTGGGCCACTAGGGGTACCCCAACGCGGTGGAAAGCCCATGAGAGGAAGGTGAGCTGTGAGGGAGGAGAGGTGAGGCACTAGTGGCAGAAAAGAAAAAGAAACCACGCCACGGAGAAGCGGGACCTGGGTCTCCCATGGAAAAAAGTGCCTTCCCATCAGTCCCTGCGCTGGGCCCCGTGGACCCAGGCGACCCTGGTTCTAGGCCTGGGTGCACCTCAGGCCCGCTAGGTGTACCCCAAAGCAGGCAGAAGGCCCATGAGGAGAAGGTGAGGTTTGAGGGAGGAGAGGTGACGCACCTGCGGCAGAAAAATACAAACGTGCCGAGGAGAAGCGGGGCCTGGTTCTCCCACAGACGAAAGTGCCTTCTCATCAGCCCCTGCGCTGGGCCTCCTGGACCCTGGCGACCCTAGTTCAAGGATCAGAAGAGACTCCGGCACGCTAGGGTACCCTAAGGAAGCCAGAAAGCCCATGAGGGGAAAGTGAGATTTGAGGGAGGAGAGGTGAGTCACCTGTGGCAGAAAAAAAAAAAAAAAATATATATATATATATATATATATCAGCGCCTCTGAGAAGCCGGGCCTGGGTCCCCACTGATGAAAGTGCCTTCCCATCACCTCCTGCGCTAGCCTCGAGAACCTGGCGACCCTGGTTCGAGACCCGGGAGCGCCTTGGGCCAGCTCGTGTTACCCCAAAGCAGGCAGAAGGCCAATGAGGGGAAGGTGAGGCACCTGGGGCGGAGAAAAAAAACCGCAGCTTTGAGAAGCGGGGCCTGGGTACCCACGGATGAAGGTACCTTCCGATCAGCCCCTGTGCTGGGCCCCGGCGACCCTGGCATCCATGGTTCGAGTCCAGGGAGCGCCTTGGGCTGCTAGGGGTACCCCAAGTCGGGCAGAAAGCCCATGATGGGAAGTTGACGTTTGAGGGAGGAGAGGTGAGGAACCTGTGGCAGAAAAAAAAAAAAACAACAAGCCGCGCCTAGGAGAAGCTGGGCCTGGGTCCCCCACGGATGAAAATGCCTTCCCATCAGTCCCTGCGCTGGGCCCTGTGGACGCTAGAGACCCTGTTCGAGCCTCGGGTGCGCCTCGGGCCTGCTAGGGGTACCCCAAGGTGGGCAGAAATCCCTGAGGGGCAGTTGAGGTTTGAGGAAGGAGAGGTGAGGCACCTGTGGCAGGAAAAAAAAGAAAAAACTGCACCACGGAGAAGCGGAGCCTGGGTCCCCAACGGACGAAAGTGTCTTCCCATCAGCCCTTGCGCTGGACCCAGGGGACCCTGGCGTACCTGGTTCGAGACCAGGGTGTGCTTCAGGCCGCTAGGTGTACCCAAAAGCGGGCAGAAGGCCCATGAGGGGAAGGTGATGCACGTGGGGCAGAGAAAAAAAAAAACAACCGCGCCGCGGATAAGCGGGGCCTGGGTCCCCCACAGAAGAAGCTGTCTTCCCATCAGCGCTTGCACTGCGCCCCGGGGACCCTGGTATCCCTGGCTGGAGCCCAGCGTGTGCCTCGGCCTGCTAGGGGTACCCCAAGACAGAAGGCCCATGAGGGAAAGGTGAGACACCTGGGGCAGAGAAAAAAATAAAAAAACTGTGCCGCCCAGAAGTGGGGCCTGGGTCCCCCACGGAAGAACGTCCCTACCCATCAGCCCTGCACTGGGCCCCGGAGACCCTAGCGTCTCTGGCTCGAAACCAGGGTGCGCCTACGGGCCCGCTAGGGGTACCTCAAGGCGAGCAGAAAGCCCATGACGGGAAAGTGAGGCACCTGGGGAAAAGAAAAAAAAAAAAACGCCGCAGAGAAGCAGAGCCTGGGTCCCCGAGGAAGAACGTGTCTTCCCATCAGCCACTGCGCTTGGCCCCGTGGAACCTGGCTTCCATTGTTCGAGCCCAGGGTGCGCCTTGGGCCGCTAGGGGTACCCCAAAGCATGCAGAAGGCACTTGAGGGGAAGGTGAGGCACCTGGGGCAGAGAAAAAAAAAAAAACCTCGCCACGGAGAAGCGGGGCCTGGGTCCCCAGTGATGAAAGTGCCTTCCCATCAGGCCTTGCGCTGGACCTCGTGGACACTGCGACCCTGGTTCGAGCGCAGGGTGCGAATAGGGCCCGCTAGGGGTACCCCAAAGCGGGCAAAAGGCCCATTAGAGGAAGGTGAGGCACCCGGGCAGAGAAAAAAAACCACGCCACTGAGAAACGGGGCCTGGGTCCTCCACGAACGAACGTGTCTTCCCATCAGCGCCTGTGCTGGGCCGCAGGGACCCTGGAGTCCCTGGTTCAGCCACAGGGTGTGCCTCGGGCCGCTAGCGGTACCTCTAGGCGGACAGAGGGCTCATGAGGGGAAGGTGAGCTTTGAGGGAGGAGAGGTGAGGCACCTGCGGCAGAAAAAAAAAAAAAGGTCACCTCGGAGAAGTGGGTCCTGGGTTCCCCACGGACAAAAGTCCCTTCCCATCAGCGCTGCGCTGGGCCCCGGGGACACTAGCATCCCTGGCTCCAAACCAGGGTGAGCCTCGGGCCCGCTAGGGGTACCCAAAGGCGGGCAGAAAGCCCATGAAGGGAAGGTGAGGCACCTGGGGAAGAGAAAAAAAAAAAAACCCTGCAGAGGAGCAGAGCTTGGGTCCCCCACAGACGAAAGTGTCTTCCCATAAGCCCCTGAGCTGGGCCTGTGGACCCTGGCATCCCTGGTTAGAGCCCAGGGTGTGCCTCGGCCTGCTAGGGGTACCCCAAGGTGGGCAGAAGGCCCATGAGGGGAAGGTGAGACACCTGGAGCACAGAAAAAAATTAAAAACCGCTCCGCCTAGAAGCGGGGCCTGGGTACCCCACGGAAGAAAGTGCCTTCCGATGAGCCCCTGCGCTGGGCCCTGGGGACACTGGCGTCCCTGGTTTGAACCCAGGGTGCACCTCGGGACTGCTAGGGTATCCCAACGTAGGCAGAAGGCCCCTGAGGGGAAGGTGAGGCACCTGGGGCAGAGAAAAAAAACCGCGCCGCCGAGAAGCGGGCCCTGGGTTCCCCACGGACGAAAGTGTCTTCCCATCAGCCCCTGCACCGGGCCCCAGGGACCCTGGCATCCCTGGTTCGAGCCCAGGGTGCGCTCGGGTCGCTAGGGGTACTCCAACGCAGGCAGAAAGCCCAGGAGTGGAAGGTGAGGTTTGAGGGAGGAAAGGTGAGGCACCTGGGGCAGAGGAAAAAAAAAAACCGAAGCACAGAGTAGCGGGGCCTGCGTCCCCTACGGATGAAAGTGTCTTCCCATCAGCCCCTGCGCTGGGCTCCGTCGACCCTGGCGACCCTCGTTCGAGCCCAGGGTGCGCCTTGGGCTCGCTAGGGGTACCCAAAAGCGGGCAGAAGGCCCATGAGGGGAAGGTGAGGCACCTGAGGCAGAAAAAAAAAAAAACTGTGCCGCAGAGAAGCAGGGCCTGGTTCCCCCACGGACGAAAGTGTCTTCCCATCAGCCTCTGAGCTGGGCCCAGGGGACCCTGGCATCCCTGGTTCAAGACAAGGGTGCGCTTCGGGCCTCTTGGGGTACCCCATGGCGGGCAGAAAGCCTATGAGGGGAAGGTGAGGTTTGAGGGAGGAGAGGTAAGGCACCTGAGGCGGAAAAGAAAAAAATAAAACTGCGCCACAGAGAAGCAGGGCCTGGGTACCCCACGGACGAAAGTGCCTTCTCATCAGCCCCTGCACTGGGCCCCGGGGACCCTGGCATCCCTGGCTGGAATCCAGGGTGCGCCTCTGGCCTGCTAGGGGTAACCCAAAGCAGACAGAAGGCCCATGAGGGGAAGGTGAGTCACCTGGGGCAAATAAAAAAAAAAAAAACCGCGCTGCGGAGAAGCGGGGCCTGGGTCCCCCATGGGTGAAAGTGTCGTCCCATCAACCCTTGCGCTGGGCCCCGGGGACCCTGGCGACCCTTATTCAAGCCCGGCTTGTGCCTGGAGCCGCTAGGGGTACCCCAAAGCGGGCAGAAGGCCCATGAGGTGAACGTGAGGCACCTAGGGCAGAAAAAAAAAAAAAACGCGCCTCAGAGAAGCGGGGCCTGGGTCCCCCACAGAAGAAAGTGTCTCCCCATCAGCCCTTGCGCTGCGCCCCGGGGACCCTGGGATCCCTGGTTCGAGCCCAGGGTATGCCTCGGGCCGCTAGGGGTACCCCAAGGTGGACAGAAGGCCCATGAGGGGAAGGTGAGGCACCTGGGGCAGAGAAAAAAAAACTGTGCCGCCGAGAAGTGAGGACTGGGTCCCCCACGGACGAAAGTGTATTCCCATGAACCCTTGCGCTGAGCCCCAGGGATGCTGGCGCCCCTGGTTCGAGTCCAGTGTGTGCCTAGGGCGGCTAGGGGTACCCCAAGTCGGACAGAAGGCCCATGAGGGGAAGTGAGGTTTCAGGGAGTAGAGGTGAGGCACCTGTGGCAGGTGCCCATCCGTAAACTGTTTATCCATGTGATCCCTGATGTTCACCGGGGGCTGGATGTCCCCCTGGGGCTAGATGTTCGCCTGGAGCCTGGTGTCTACCTGGGGCCTGATATCCAGGAGAGGCTTAGTTATCCACCTATGGCCATCTGGAGCCAGATGCCCACCTGAGGTCTGGTGTACACCTAAGGCCTGATATCTACCTGGGGCTTGGGTGTTCATGTGGGACCTGATGTCTACCTAAGACCGTGTGTTCACCCGGAGCCTGGGTGACCATCTGGGTTATGATGTTCAGCTGGGGCCCAGAGTTCAGCTAGGGACTGGGTCAACCTTCTGCTTGTTGCACAGCTGGGGACTAGGTATCCACCTGGGCTCCGGTGTTCACTGGGGCCTGATGTCTGTCTGGGGCCTTGTATTTACCTAGGACCAATGCATCCACCTGAGGTCTGAGTGCTCTAATGGAGCCTGGAGTTTTCCTGGGGCCTGGGGTCTGCCTTAGGCTTAAGTGTACATCTGTGGCCTCATGTCCACCTTGGGATGGATGTCCACCTGGGGATGGATATTCAGTAGGGACCTGAGTGTCCACCTGGTTTTTGATGTCTACCTGGGGCCTGGTGTTCATCTGAGGTTTGATATCCACCTGGGGCCGGGACATTTGCCTGGAACCTGATGTACAGCTGGTGCCTGAAGTTCATCTATGCCTGGTGTCCCCCTGGGGCCAGGTAGTCAACATAGGGCCTGAAGACCTTCTAGAGTTCAGTGTTCACCTGTGGCCTGAAGTCCACCTAGGGCTTGGGTGTCCAAGTAGGGCCTGGTGTCAGCTTGAGATTTGTGTATTTACCTAGGGCCTGGTTGTCCACTGGGGGCTTGATTTTTTACTTGGTTTTTGTGTTAATTTGGGATCTAGTGTCCACCTGGGGCCTAGGTATCCACCTAGGGACTATTGTCCAGCTGGAGACTAATGACTACCTATGGCCTGGTAATCACCTAAGGCTTTGTTTCACTTAGGTACTTGGTGCCAAACTGTTGCCTGCTGTTCAGCTGGGGTATGGTGTCCACCTGGGGTCTGGATGTCAGCCTGGGGCTTGTTGTATACCTGTATCTTACATATCCAGATAGGAGTCTATTTTCTGCTTAGGTGCAGCAGTCCATCTGGTGCTTGAGTGTCAACCTAAGGCCTGATGTCTATGTTGGACCTTGGGTTCACCTGAGGCCTGATATCCACCTGGGGCCTCAATGTCCAAATGGGGCCTGATGCCCATCTGGGCGCTGGGTGTCCACCTGCAGCATGGATGTCCACTGGTACTTTATGTCCACCAGGGGCCTAATGTCCACCTAAAACCTGGTGTTCACCTGGGGTCTGATGTTCAGCTGAAGACCAGATGTCCACCTGGAGCCGAGGAATCCACCCAGGGACTGGTGTTGAACTGGGGCCTGATGACCACCCGGGGACAAGGTACACACCAGGCTTGTTGTCCACCTGTCACCAGATGTCCATCTGAGTCCTGATGTCCATCTTGATCCTGGGTGTCCACATTAGGCCTGATGTCCACCTGGGGCCTAGGTACCCACTGGGGGCTTCCTGTTAACCTGGGGGCTGGTGTCATTCTGGGGCCTAATGACCACCTGGGTTGTATTATTCACCTAGGGCCTGGTGTCCACTTGGGGCTTGAGTGTAACCTTGGACCTGGCACCCACACAGGACTTGGGTATCAAACTGGCCCCTTGGTGTCCAGTTAAGGCATCATGTGAACCTGGCGCCTGAGTGTCCACTTGGGGCCAAATGACTACTGGGGGCCTGAATGTCAACCTAGAATCTGAGGTTTACTAGGGGCCTAGGTATCCACCTGGGGCCCAATGTCCACCTGAGCCTGGGTGTCAACCTGGGGCCTGATGTAAACCTCTAGTTCAGTGTCCACCTTGGGCTTGATGTCAACCTGGAGCCTGATGTCCACCTGAGTACTGATGTTCACCTTTGACCTGATGTCCACCTGTGGACTGTTTATCCACCCATGGCCTGATGTTCACCTGGGGCTGAATGTCCAACTGTGACCTGTTGTGCACCTGGAACCTAGGCATCCACCTGCAGCCTGATGTTCAGCTGGGCTGGGACCCGGAGTTCACCTGAGGCATGATGTCCACCTGAAGCTTGATGTTCACCTGGGGGCTGGGTGTCCACTTGGGGCCTAATATCCACCTGGACTAGGTACCCACCTGGGATCTGGTGTTCACTCAAGATTGGTGTTCAGCTGTGGCCTAATGACCACCTGGGTCATGATGTCTACCTTGGACTGGGTGCTTACCTGGAGCCAGTGTTCACTGGGGACCTAGTGTGCACCTGAGACCAGGGGATGTACCTGGGGCCTGGTGTCTACCTGGTGCCTAGGTATCCACTTGAGGCCTAATGTTCATCTGGAATCTGGTATCCACCTGGGGCCTTGTAATTACCTGGGGTCTGGGCATCCACCTAGGGCTTGAGTATCCTCCTGGGGCCTTGAGTTTTACTGGGGACTCGTGTCTGCCTTGGACCTGGGTGTACATCTGTGGCTTAATGTACACCTTGAGAGTGATGTCAACCTGGGGACAGATGTCCTCTTGGGGTCTGAGTGTACACCTGGTGTCTGATGTCTGCCTGAGGACTTGTGTTCATCTGAGACCTGATATTCACCTGGGGACTGGGCGTCCACGAGGGGCTGATGTCCAGCTGGACACTGGATATCCACCTGGGGCTTAAGGATCCACCCAGAAACTGATGTCAAACTGGGGCCTGATGCCTACCTGCGGACTAGGTATCCATGTGAGGCTTGATGTTCATCCGCAGCCAGACGTCCATCTGATGCTTGATGTCCACCTTAGTCCTGGGTGTCTACTGGAGACCTCATGTTCAACTAGAGCTTAGGAACCTACTTGGGGCCTCGTGTAAACCTGGGGACTGGTATGCAGCTGGGTCCCAATGATCCCCTGGGTCATATTATTCACCTAGGGCCTGGTGTCCATTTGGGGCTTGAATGACAACCTTAGGTCTTGTGTTCATCTTTGACGTGGTGTCCACCTGGGACTTGGTTATCAACCTGAGGACTTGGTGTCCAATTGAGGTGTCATGACCACCTGGGGACTGAATGTCAATCTGGGGTCTGATGTAAACCTCTAGTTCAGTATCCACCTGGGGCCAGATGTCTTCCTAGAGACTTATATTCTCTTTTGACCTGATGTCCACCTGGGGACTTGCTATCCATCCATGGTCTGATATTCACCTGGGGACAGATGTCCAACTGTGGCCAGAAGTGCACCTGGGGTCTGGGCTTCCACCTGGAGCCTGATGTTTAGCTGGGGCTAGAGTTTACATGGAGAACGATGTCCACCTGAAGTTTGATGTTTACCCGGGGCCTGATACCTGCCTGGTGCCCAAGTATTCTCATGTGCCTAATGTCCACTAGTTGGCCTGGTGTTCATCTGAGGGCTTGGAGTCAACCAGTGGCTTTATGTACACCTGGATTCTAGTGTCCTCCTGGGGCCTTATGCTTACCAGGAGTCTGGTGTTCCCCTGGGGTCTAGTATCCACCTGGAGTCTGGGTGTCCACCTGAGCCTAATGTTGAGCTTAGACTGAGTGTCAGCCTGAGGCCTGATGTCTACTTAGGGCATAGGTATTCACCTGGGGCTTGTTGTTTACCTGGAGACTAATGTCAACCTTGAGCCTAGGTATCCACCTGGGGAATAGTGTCCAGTTGCAGCCAGATGTCCACCTATGGCCTGAAGCATGGTTGTTATCCTAAGGTCTTGTATTAGTCCATTTTCACACTGTTATAAAAAACTACCTGATATTGGGCAACTTATGAGGAAAAGAGGTTTAACTGACCCACAGTTCTTCAGGCTTAATAGGGAGCATGACTGGGTGGGCCCGGGACACTTACAATCATGATGTAAAGCCAAGAGGAAGCAAGCCCTTTTTACCATGGGGGAGGAGGAGGGAGAGAGAAGGGGGATGTGCTGCACACTTTCAAATAACCAGATCTCGTAAGAAGTCTATCACGAGAAGAGCAAGTGGGAAGTCTGCCCCCATGATTCAATCACCTCTCACCACGCCCCTTCTTCAACCCATGGGGATTACAATTCAACATGAGATTTGGGTGGAGACATAGAGCCAATATCAGGCCTGATGCCCGCCTGGAGTCGTGTCTACCTGAGGCCTAATGTAGACATGACGCCTGGGCATCCACCTAGGACCTCATGTTAAGATAGGGGCTGGAGTTCTTTCGGTGTCCAGGGTATACCTGGGGCCCAGATGTATAACTAGAGCCTGATTTTCAGATGGAAACCTGCGCCCCAAGTGCTCATCAGATCCTAGGTGAAAATTCAGGCTTCAAGTGCACATCAGACTCCAAGTGGACACATAGGCCCCAGGTTGATACCAAGATTTCAGGTAGACTCTGGGTCCCAGAAAAACACCCCACCCTAAGTGGACAGCTGAACCTGAGTAGACATCAGGCCCCAGATCAACATCTGGCCCCAGGTAGATTCCTAGGCCCAAGGTGAATACTCAGTCTCCAGCCCTAGGGGAATTCAGTGTTAGATGACTAAGGACTGGTTTTCCTCTGGGTCCTCATGTCTACCTGGGCCCTGGGAGTGCACAAGGAGCCAGATGTCTATAAAGGGCCTGAGTGTCCACTAGGGCCTGAGGTTCACCAGGAGCATAGACATCCACCTAGGACCTCGTGTCCACCTAAAACCTGGTATTCACTTGGGGCCTGGGTGACAACCTGGGATCTGATGTTCACCTGAGGCCCAGAGTTCAGCTGGTGCATATGTCAGCCTGGCACCTGATGCACACGGGAGGACTAGGTGCCCACCTGAGGACTGGTGTTCATGGGGAACTGGTGTTCAGCTGTGGCTTGATGACCAACTGGGTCCTGGTGTCCTCCTGGCACCTGATGTCCACCTGGGACTGCATGCTTACCCAGGGCCTGGTGTTCCCCTGGGGCCTGGTGTGCCCCTGAGACCTGGGGTCCACCTGGGCCTAGTATCCACTTGGGGCCTCATATCCATCTGGAACATCATGTCCACTTGGGGCCTTTTAGTTACCTAGGGACTGGGTGTCCTTCTGGCGCTTGAGTGTCCTCCTGGGGCCTGGGGTTCTCCTGGGGCCTGGGTGTACATCTCTGGCCTGATGTCCACCTTGGGATGGATGTCCATCTGGGAACAGATGTTCACTTGTGGCCTGAGTGTCCATCTTGTGTCTAATGTCTACCTGGGATCTGGTGTTTGCCTGAGGCCTTATATCCACCTGGGGCCTGGGCATCCATTTGAGGCCTGATGTCTACCTAAGACCCGGTGTTTAACTGGGGCACAGACTTCTTCCTGGAGCCCGACGTTCATATTTAGCCTGAAGTTCACCTATGCCTGTTGTCTACCTGTGGCCTATGTGTCAACCTAGGGCCTGAGGACCACCCTGAGTTCAGTGTTCACCTGGGGCCTGACATCTGCCTGGAGTCTGGGTGTCCACATAGGGCCTGATGTTGGCTTGGGACCAAAGTATTTACCTAGGGCCTGGGTGTCTACTTAGAGCCTGACTTCTACATGGTTCATTGTGTCAACCTGGGGCCTGATGTCCTCTTAGGGCCTAGGTAAGCTCCTTATGACTAAAGTCCACACAGGGGCTGAAACCATCTCAGACCTTGTGTTAATCTAGGGCTTAGTGTCCACCTGAGGCCTGCCTGGGACCTGGAGACCTCCTGGGGTCAATCTATCCACCTTGGGCCTGATGACCAATTGGGGCTTAAGGATCTACTTAGAGACTGGTGTCAACCTGGAACCTGATGTCCACTTGGAGTCTGGTGTACACCTTGGGCCTGATGCCCACCTTGGCACAGGTGTACACTTTGGGCCTAGTGTGCACTGAAGCCTGGGTGTCAACCTGGGTCTTGATGCACACCTTTAGTCAAGTGTTTAACTGGGGCCTGATGAAATACTGCAGCCTGATTTACACCTGTGTACTGGGTCTCCACCTGGGGCCTGATGTCCTCCTGCAGCCAGATATCCACCTGGCAGTAGACGTCTACAAGGAATCTGGGTGTCCACGTTGAAAATGATGTATTCCAAGAGACTAGGCATGCACATTGGGCCTGGGGTCCACCTGGGTCCTGATGTCTACCTGAGGCTGGTATTGAACTGGGGCCTGTGTGTTCACTTGGAGCCTGATGTCCATTTGGAAACTGGTGTTCACCTAGAATATGGGTATCCACCTGGATCCTGATTTTCAGGTGGGGAGTGGATATAGACCTGGGACCTGATGGCCACCTATGCTATAAGTAACCCAACCACCTGAGGCCCGATGTTCACCTGCAGCCTGATGTCCACCTGGTATCTGTGTGTCAATCTAGTGCCTGGTGTCCACTTGAGGACTAGGTAGACACCTGGGGCTTTGTGTTCACCAGGGGCCTGGTGTTCATCTTGCACCCAGTGTCCACCTGGACCCTGTGTATCAACCTGTGGCCTAGGTGGTCACTTGGAGCTTTATGTGCACCTGGGGCCTGAGAGTTTCCTAGGATCTGATGACCACTGGGGCCCAGGTATCCACCTGGGACATCCGGCTCCAAGTGTATATCCAGGCTCCATGTGGACACCAGGCCAGGAGAACGCCAGCCCTTATCTGAATATCAGGTCCTAGATGGATGCCCAGGCCCCATGTGTACATCAGTCCCCGGGTATACACTGGACTCCAGGTGGACACCAGCACTCAATTGGATACACACACTCAAGGTGGACACCAGGCCCCACGTGAATTCGTACACTCCAGGTGAACATCAGGTCCCAAGTGGATACCTGGACTCCAGGTGTATACCAGTCTCTAAATTAATACCAGGCCTCAGATGGTCCTTAGGAGCCATGTGGGCATTAGTCATCAGGAAGTTACCTAGGCCCAAAGTGCACATCAAGCCACCTGTTGACACAAGATCTATTTGGAAGTCAGGCCCCAGCTGGACACCCAGGCCCTAGGTAAATACTTAGGTCCCAGGTTGACAGCAGGCCCTGTGTTAACACTCAGAACTCAGGTGGACATCAGGCCTCAGGTGGACATCTGAGTTCATCTGGAACCTCTTGTTACAGGCCCCATGTAAACAACAGGCCTTAGGTGGATACCCAATCTCTAAGTGGACATCAGAGCTCAGATTGACACAAAGACTCCAGTAGACATAATGTACCAATGAATATCCAGGCCTCCGGTAAATACCCAGGCCCCAGATTGACATCAGGGTCTATGTGGACACACAGGCCCCGGGTAGTAAACAGGCCCAAGGTGGACACTGGACTAGACATCAGGTCCTAGGTTGACAACCATGCTTCAAGTTGACACCTGGCCCCAAGTGAACATCTGGTCCCAGCTGGACACTAGTCTCCTGGTGAATACCTGGGCTCAAGGTTGACATCAGACCCTATGTGAACACTAGACCCCAGCTAAACACTTATGCCCTAAGTGGACATCAGGCCTCAGGTGGTTACCCAGTCCCAAGGTAAACATAGGACCCTGATGGGCACCAGTTATCAAGTGGATTCCCAGGCCCCAGGTGAATATCAAGTCCTAGGTGGATACCAGGCCCCAAGTGGATACCAGGATCTGGTAGACATCAGGTCCCAAGAGGACCCTAGAACCCAGGAGTACATTAGACTCAGCACTCAGATGAACATTAGGCTTCAGGTGGACATCGTGCCTCAGGTGAACTCCAGGCCCCAGATGAACATCAGGCCCCAGGTGGATGCCCAGGATCCGGGTGCACATCTGGCCACAGTTGGACATTCAACCCCAGGTGACCATCAGGCCATGGGTGAATACACGGTTTCCAGGTAGACATCAGATCAAAGGGGAACATCAGTCCCCCAGTGGACATCAGGCCCAAGGTGGACACTCAACTAGAGGTTTACATCAGGCCACATGTTGACACCTAGTCCCAGGTGGACATCAGGCCCCAGCTAGATACCTAGGCTTCCAGTGAATTTCAGAACCCAGGTTGACATTCAGGCCCCCAGTGGTCATCTGGCCTCATGCGAACACTCAGACCCAAGGTGCAAATGATGTCTCAACTGGATACCAAACCCCTAGTTTGATACCCAAGGCCCAGGTGGACACCAGGTCCAAGGCTGACACTCAAGCCCTAAGTGAATACCAAACTCTAGGTGAATAATTCAACCCAGGTGGTCATTAGGACCCAGCTGGATACCAGTCCCCAGGTTAACACAAGGCCCCCAGTGGGCACCTAGGCACCAGCTGGACATCAGGCCCTATGTAAACACCCGGGTCTCAGGTGAACACCATGCCCCAGGTGGACATCAGGCCCTAGGTGGATACGGGGCCACAGGTGGACATCTAGCCGCTGGGCAACATCCAGCCCCAGGTGGACATAACCGTTTCCATGGATAAACCATTCCCAGGTGGATAGCAGGCCTCAAGAGGATCGCAGTCACCAGGTACACATCAGGCCTCAGATAGACACCAAGTTCCCAGATGTACAGCAGGCCCCAACCAAACCCCAGACTCATGTGGACATCAGGGCACAGGTAGACACCAAGCCTTAGGTAAATACCTAACTTCAGGTGGACATCAGACCCCAGGTGGACACCCAGTCCCCAGGTGGACAGTCAGGCCCCAGGCCCACATCAGGCCTTAAGTGGACACCCAGGCCCCAGGTTGATATCCAGCTCCCAGGTGATCACCAAGCCCCAGGTAGACACCAGGCCGTAGGTGAGCAGCAGGATGCAGTAGGTCATCAGGCCACAGCTGGATACCAGTCCCTGGTGAACACAAGGCCCCAGTGGGACACAGATCTAAGGCAGACATCAGGCCCCAGGTGGACATACAGGCCTGAGGTGGAATTCACCCTGAGGGGGACATTCGGCCCCAGGTACGCATCAGGCCTCAGGTGAATAACCAGTCCCCAGCTGGACATTAGCCCACAGGTCAACCACAGTACCCAGGTTGATGCCTGGTCCCCAGGTGGCTACCCAATCTGCAGGGTAACATTAGGCCCCTGTAGGTTCCCAGGCCCCAAGTGGATTCCTAGGCCCCTGGGGAACATCAGGTGCAGGTGTCCAAGCAGGCCCTGGGTGGACATAACTGTGTACAGGTAAGGAGTTGACCTGTGGGGAAGGTGAGCAGTCAGCAGCCCACTGGGGTCCTGAGTAGGTCTTCTGGAAGGAGGAGGCCAAGGGGACGGAACCTTAAAGAAGCGACCTCACTTCCTTGGCAACAGACCCTAACGGAAATTAGAATTCTGGTAACCAGGCCAGGCACGGTGGCTCACACCTGTAATCCCAGCACTTTGGGAGGCTGAGGCAGGAGGATCATGAAATCAGGAGATCAAGACCAGCCTGACCAACATGGTAAAACCATATGTCCACTAAAAATACAAAAAACAAACAAGGTCAGGAGATCGAGACCATACTGGCTAACACAGTGAAACCCCATCTCTACTAAAAATACAAAAATTAGCCGAGCATAGTGGCAGGTGCCTGTAGTCCCAGCTACTTGGTAGGCTGAGGCAGAAGAATGGCATGAACCCAGGACGCGGAGCTTGAAGTGAGCCAAGATCGCGCCACTGCACTCCATCCAGCCTGGGAGACAGAGCAAGACTCTGTCTCAAAAAAAAAAAAAAAAACAAACAAACAAAAAAAAACAACTAGCCAGGTGTTGTGGTGCATGTCTTGTGCCTGTAATCCCAGCTACTCAGGAGACTGAGGCAGGAGAATTGATTGAACCTGGTAGGCGGATGTTGCAGTGAGCTGAGATCATGAAACTGCACTCCAGCCTGGCCAACAGAATGAGACTATGTCTCAAAAAAAAAAAAAAAAGAATCCCGATAACCAGGCACCCACATCCTAGAGTTAGCCCCATAGCCAGCTCACTTGGTGGGAGATGCTCAAGAGAGCAAGATGTTCCTGTGCTGCATCCGCACATCTCAAGGCTCCTGCTTCAGGAATGGCAGGAGTGAGAACCTTTCTTTTCTGACGATGCCCTTGTAGGCTCATCCCTCACCCCAGATGCCTCTGGCCATTTAGCAGAAGGCCCCCCCAGGTACCACAGGACAGGAGTCACCAGGTAGACATCAGGCCCCAGATGGAGCTACCAGGCCAGGCCTCACAGTGATCCCACCAGGGCCACATCTGCACATTGTCCTTGTCCAGCTGGAGCCTCTGGAGCTCATTGAGACACAGGCACATGCTGAGGTCACCTGCAGTCTGGAAGTCTTTCCAGGGACAATGTTTTCAGGCTGAAATACCTTTAAATTCAGTGAGGTTGTTTTCATGTTTGGAAATTCCAGTGGAAAGTGAGTGATATTGGTGACCTCTCTCCTTTTTCAGTTCCTGCTTCAGGTGCAGAAATACAGCTATTTCCAGTGCCAGCTGTGGAGCCAGTGCCAGCACCAGGGTCAAAGCCCCCTCCAGGGACAGCGCTGGAGCTAGAGGAGGCTCCAGAGCCCTCCTGCCATTGCCCTGGGACTGCCCAAGCTGAAAGTGTGGCTGGAGCTAGAGGTGGCAGAGAGGGGGTGACCAGCACAGCTCCAGCCAGCAGCTCCCACACTGCTCCCAGTCCTGGGCACAGTGGAAGCTATGGAGGCAGAGACCAGGGTGTGCAACCTGGGCTCCTCTGCCTCACTGGAGAGGGACTTCTCTCATTCAGCAGAGCAGCAGCCCTGCTGCTGAAGAGCCTGCTGCTACTGCTGCTGGGGTTGTTTGCCTGCCTACAGGAGGTGCTGGAGAGCAAGAAAAGGAGCCTGTGAGCAGGGGTTCCAGGAGGTCCTCCTGCTCCCAGAGGCGACCTCCTCCTCCAGGCATGGAGGTTTGCCCTCAGCTAGGCATCTGGGCCATTTGCCTCTAATGTTCTGCCCAGGATGGCCTCTTCTTGACAGGTGGACAGGGGTTGAGGGGGCCAGGGGGCATCTCCAAAGGAAGATTTAAACTCAGCAGCTGCACCCCAGAATCTCCATGCCTGCACCTGCCCAAGGATTTATTCATAGCTTAACTAAGAATCTCAAATTTCTACCATAACACTGAAATAAAGTTTGACTTTTTGAAACTTCCATGACTTCTTTCACTCCCTAATATTGTAGATGATGTTTTTAAGGTGACATTGAAAACCTCTGATAGTTGTGTGTTTAGTTATGGCTCTTTGTGTGATTAAATTACGATCTGATCAAGTGATATTGAAAACCCTTCAGGTATGGCTTTTAGAAGAATTTGACCTATTTTTGCTTGTGTTGACTCTCCCTCCAGCTTTGTGAAAAGAGGGATCATGTAGCTTCGTTTCTCAGGCAGATCAGTCACCTTTTGCCATCAAAGTTTTAGCATCCATTTCCAAAATTTGGTGTACAAGTTGATATTTTGGTGTTTTTAGCTAATCTGGGGTCAAAACAGAATGCCATAGATGAGGAAGCTTATAAACCAATTTGTTTCTTTCAGTTTTGGAGATGGCAAAATTCAAGGTCAAGTGGTTAGCAGATTCCATGTCTGGTGTGGGCTTGCTTTGTGGTTCATAGACAGCCATGTTTCTACCATGTCCTCACATGACAGAAGGGATGAGAGAGCTCTCTATGGTGCCTTCAATAGGGGCTATTAATCCCACTCCTGTGGCCCCTGCCTTCATGAGCTAATCATTCCCCAAGGCCCTACCTCCAAATATCACATAGGGAATTAGATATCAGCACTTGAATTTGAGGGGGACAATAACATTTGGTCTATAGAATTAGGTTACCCAGAGCCTTATGCATTCAGAGGAAATCCAAAATCTTCTATAAGTATTCGCTGGTCCCCTCTGGGCTTAGGGAAACCTTTAATTGCAGCTCTTGATTCAGCTTGGTCCAAGCTTAAATTCTACGTTTGCCTGAGTAACTTGTTCATGGGACAGAGGAAAGTTTAGAGGCAACTGACCATTTGGAGTTTTAAGACAATTGATGGAAGAGGGCTTGGCATCTGGATGAGAAGTGGAGAGAGAATAGAACAAAGGCACAGAAGGAGAGAGCACAATGAGAAAGGGGAAGAGGGACATCTGGACATAAGGGCCAACTGGAGGGCAGGGAAGGTAATTTTCCTTGCATTTTAAACTCAGACCACATATCACATCAGAATCACCTGAGGGAGTCATTTTCAATGCATATTCCTGGGTTTCTTCTCTTGGAAATTTTTATTTCTTAAATCTTGAGTTGTGCTGATTTATCCATATTTATCATAAGAATTTTGGATAATTCCTACTTTGGGAGGCCCAGGCAGTGGATCACTTGAGGTCAGGAATTCAAAACCAGCCTGGCCAACATGGTGAAACTTCATCTCTACTAAAAATACAAAAATTAGCCAGGCATGGTGGTACACACTTGTAGTCCCAGCTACTTGGGAGGCTGAGGCAGGAGAATCACTTGAATCAGGGAGGCAGAGATGACAGTGAGCTGAGATCACGCCACTGCACTAGAGCCTGGGCAACAGTAAGACTCCATCTCAAAAAAAAAAAAAAAGACTTGTGGATAATTCTGATGCAATTAGAAAACAAAGCAGAGCTTGACAACCACTGGGTTGGAAAATATATCAGGAAGACATTTGATTATGTAAAATAACTGCAAAACAAACTGAAGGGTAATTATTTTAAAATGCTTGAATATAATTATATAATTCTATTCTTCCTACGTATGTAGTTTGACCACATATATGATGTCTGCTATACTAAGATTGGAAATGTGTAGAAGTTTTTTCAAAAATCAGGTAGAAGCACAGAAAAAAGGGATTGGAGAGAAAAGAAAACTAGCTATTGTCTGGTAACAAGAGAAGAGAAGGGAAACGAAGTAGCATGTTTTTGTTCATTGTTTGATGGCATCTAAATTATGATCCCAAATATTTTTTTCTAAGAAATCCAATAATACAAGTATTCAGAGTGGAGTACCAACCTGGTTTACTGGGAAAGAGAAGTGTACTCTGTTTTGCTGCATAATGTTGAGGGAGAAGGAAAGGAAAATTAGTTGAGTAAACAAGTAAGAGACTGGTCCTCAGGGAAGCTGTCAGCCTGAAAAATCACAACTACTGCACCTACAGATAAGTCCTGAACAGATAAGCATGCAAGGTCCAGCACACATGCCTTCTGTCTTTGTGTAATTGGCAAGCTCCCAGGTAAAATTTTCCTCCCTTTTTCAGGCATATACATGGCGGCCTCTGTGGGAACTTGCACAGGGAGGAGGTGGGCTTACCTAAAACAAACCCACAGTTATACAAACAAGAGAAGCCCACTTTATGCTTGACTAGACACATACCCACAGCTGGATATATAAAGGGAATTGTGCAGACAGTTTTATATAGAGCTGAGAGGAGTTTCTTATAAAAGCTTTTTGATTCAACAGTAAAAACGGCAATCCAGTTGGACTCCTTTGTCTGCTGCAGAGAGCTTCCTCCTTTTTCTTATTAAACTTTCACTCCAACCTCACCCGTGTGTCCCTGTTCCTTAATCATCTTGGTGGTGAGATGAAGAACTCCACGTGATACCTCACAAGAGAGACTGCTACATTGTGGTGCATTGGTGAGACTGCAACTTTAAGAAGTGTGACTTTTATTGCTGCTGAATTATTTTATCTCCTACCCAATTGAAAATAAAGGATATAAAGTGCTTAGGCTGAACACAAAGTCCTCTGCTCTAGGTAACATCTTCAGCAGCCACATTAGCAGAGGGATGGGTGGTAATGGTGAAGTAGATGTCTCTTTGCTTCTGACAGGGTGTCTGCTTATGTGTTAAACAAAATAGTATGCTATATATTTCATTAAGAAATCTGCTAAAAAATGAAGAAAAACAGGTTCATGTTCTTAAGAGGCACAGTATTTGCTACGGCAGCAAGACCAAAAGGCTTAAGTAACAAAAATGTGCATAGTAGTTACAAACATTTTCATCTAAACAAAACAATGTGAGCATCTGCATATGACAATAACTCATGCAAAAAATATTTTTTAACTGAGATTGCAATCATTTTATACATAACAAATGTTATCACTGTATTCTCAGGTAATATATTGTTTGTATATAGATGTTATAAATGATAACTTATTTAAGTTATTCATCATTTATACAACAAATAATTCTTTGGAATCTACAAAATGCTGGTTTTGTTCTAGGCACTGAATGTACAAATTTATTTAAAATATGTGTTCTTAGAGTGTTGTAGATTAAAAAATACAAAATAGGCCGAGCACAGTGGTCACACCTGTAATCCCAGCACTTTGGGAGGCCGAGGCAAGTGGATCACCTGAGGTCAGGAGTTTGAGACCAGCCTGACCAACACAGTGAAACCCAATCTCTACTAAAAATACAAAATTAGCCGAGGGTGGTGGCACATGCCTGTATCCCAGGTACTTGGGAGGCAGAGGCAGGACAATCGCTTGAACCCGGGAGGTGGAGGTGGCAGTGAGCCGAGATTGCACCATTGCACTCCAGCCTGGGCAACAAGAGCAAAACTCTAATATATATACATATTATTATGTATATATATACATATAATATGTATTTATATTACATATATACATATAATATGTATATATATTACATATATACATATAATATGTATATATATTACATATATACATATAATATGTATATATATTACATATATACATTTGTGTATTTATATAACATATATACATTTTTGTATATATATAACATATATACATATTTGTATCTATATAACATACACATATGTGCATATAGACATACATATATAATATATACATATATGTAAATGCATAATATACATATATATCTAATATATATACATATATAATATATGTATATGTGCATATATATATTAAATATATATACACATATATATTAGAAATTGTACTGCTGAAAACAAGAGCTACTAATAAAAAAATTTGAAGAAACCTAGTGTGATTAATTTTAATAGAAATGGATATTTTAATACAGGTCTCTTGTTTTTTCTTGTGGAAATAAATGACAAGATGGAATTTCTGGGAGTTTTGTATCTGAATATTAAAGTATAGCAGGTATGGTCAGTTTTTCAAAGGCATTTTACCACCTTACTTGTGCATCGGCAACTCTTAAGATATTATGTGGGACAACGGCCTGTCCAACAACCTCTAGTATCAGTCTTTGTAAAATTTGTCAATTAAAAGGGTTTTTTGCTTTTGTTTTTGAGGCAGTCTCACCCTGTCACCCAGGCTGTAGTGCTGTGGCATGATCTTAGCTCACTGCAGTCTTTGCCTTCCAGGTTCAAGTGATTGTCCTGCTTTGGCCTCTCAAGTAGCTGGGACTATAGGTGCCCCCCACCACACCCAGCTAATTTTTGTATGTTTAGTAAAGACAGGGTTTCACCATGTTGGCCAGGCTGTTCTCAATCCTGATCTCAGATGGTCGACCTGTCTCAGCCTCCCAAAGCCCTGGGATTACAATCATGAGCCACCGCACTTGGCTGGGATTTCTTTCTCTCTCTCTCTGTCTGTCTGTCTGTCTCTCTCTCTGTCTCTCTCTCTATATATAGAGAGAGATAGAGAGAGAGAGAGAGAGAATATATATATATATATAAAGTGTATATATATACTTTAAGTTCTGGGATAAATGTGCAGAACATGCAGGTTTGTTACACAGGTATACATGTGTCACGGTTTGCTGCAAAATGGGTGTAGGTTTTGCAAGTCATTATTATATTATTAAAAGATAACAGAATACCGAGCTAAAAAAATGTGAGGAGGCATTAATGGGCACATGTTTACTGAGCACATCCTGACTCCAGAATTAAAAATCCAATTTATGTCTCTGCAGTCCAATAAAATTTTTCCTTAAGAATCCAGAGATCAGACTTTCATTTCAGCAACCACTCCAATATGATTTCTCACCTACTCACTCCAACGAAGCTGCTCGTATTAAAACATAAGTGCTATCCATATTGTTAAACTATAAATTGAACCATAACTCCTCGGCCTTCGTCTTAATTTATATATCAGCAGCATTTCACACAGTTGATCTCCACCTTCTCTTTGTAAAACTTTTTTATAGAATTCCAGAATACTTAACCTACTTTTCCCCCACCATGTTTTTGATAATTACCCCTAGTCCTTTATTGCAGGTTTCATCTTTTCTATTTTTTAAATGTTAGAGGACCATTAGGCTCAGGACTTCGACTTCTTATCTTTGCTTTCTTACTAATGTTTGTGTCATTAATTTCCTGATATTTCATATTACACCTAAACACTGGACACTACACCCAACACTCCCTGACTTATCCACGTGGATGTCAGTTAGGAATCTCAAAATTAATATGTCTATATTGAGCCACTGAAACTCCCCAAATTTGCTCTTCCCCATTCTGTTTAATGGCAACTCCCATTTTATAGTTTCTCAGCTCAATATTCTTGGTGTCCCCTTTCAATTCTGTCTCTGTAGCTCTGTCAATCTCTTTCTGTATCTGTCTGATTCTCTCCCTCTCTCTCCTCTCTCTCTTGCTCACTTTCACTCTTGCTCTTTCTCCCTGCTTCACACACACACAAACACACACAGACAGACACACACACACACACACACACACACACACACACACACACACACACATTTTCAGATCTGACGTGTATGGAATTCCTGTCAGCTTTACCTTTAAAGTGTAGTAATTCCAAATGTTGTTTCAAATTCACCTTCCCACCCCCACCACTTGGTAACTATAGCGCTTCCCTCACAAGGCCAAGTGCAGAGATTTCTTGGGGAAATAATGAGAACTATTATACATTTTTCTTATTTCAAGGACACCTAAATTTACAGGATTGCCATATTTGATACTAATTTAAGCTTCTGTCATTGCCCTTTTTTCAATCCATTCTCCACACAGCTACCACAGTGTGCAAGTAGAAGTCTCAGCCATATCACCACACTCCTGCTTTAATGTCCCTACTCCATTGCTTCTTTTCTCCTTCAGAAGAGTTTAAGCTTAATGCAGCTGGGCAACTTTACATATTTTTCCACGAGCTGGAGATCACTTGCTGTAAGGTAAATGATCAGTAAATGTTTTCAAATAACAGAATCCACGAATAAGAGTTTTGTTTCTTTGAGAGTACATTGACTTTTAAAAATCAAGAAAATAGATTGCTCAAGAGAATTCTGCTTGTTTTGATTTTGTTATCACTCGATTAGATTAACTGTGTCAGTATAAATGTCAGTGTGGAAAGCTATAAGCATTTCCTAAACTTTAAAATGAAAGGCATGGAATTTAAATATCTGCTCCTTTTATTTGAGCAACCAGAAAACACAACTTTTTAAATATATTTTATGTATGTATGAAATCTAAATTTATTTTTCTCTCTTTATCGCCGAATACTTTTAAAAGTTATTCATGTCCTCATTATTTTTTAATCCACTTCAGTAACATTTTAAAATATATTTTCGACTTCGTTAAGAATATCTTTGTCTTCCACTGAATAGCTTGCCAAATAATAAAACATTAGCAGTATAATTTCCTCATAAACATTATTTAATTTGCTTGGTTAAACCTAGATTTCCTACTCTCAACTCATGATTTCATTCAAGTATAATATATTCTACTTGACATTTGCGGGGTTTTCATACCATTCATTTGTCATTGAAATTGGTTTTTGATATTTGAACAACTAGTTTATAATTGTATTGTTGGTTAGACTGGTCTGTGGAATCTTTCTTTGTTTTGATTCTGTGGTTTATTCATTACGGAGTAGCTTTGCTACTGTAAATTTTGAGGTCAAAAGCTTAAAACATTTTATGTATTTTAAAACAAAGTGGATGCCATTTAAGTATCTATTCCTTAAAATTTGGAAGAAAGATAAACACCATATAAACCCAGAGCCTGTATTTTTAGATTAGTAGCATGTAGACATTTTCAATTTTTTCTAAAGTTGAAAAAAATAAACATTTTGTGTACATAGAATGCTTGATAGCAGAAGGTAAATATTTAATTTTCACTTAAAAGAAATTTGGTTACATTGAAAGGAAATTTGGCTAATATAAGTGAAATACATTTCTAATTAAAACAATAATTTAAGATAAATAATGCTCAAAGAACAGTGGTCACTGCATTTATTCCAGAGAGAGGACATTGATCCTGATCTGGCTGTAATGATGTAGTAGGTAGAACTGCTGGTGTGGACACCCAAGCAAGGAAGGGAAGCTGGTGTCTCAAGGGGTCCCGCTGAGAGTGAAAGGGGTCAGGGCCCAGACTGTGGATGTCACCTGGACCCAACCACCATGTCTCAGAAGAAGAAATGACCCTCCCCTCCTGGTGCTGCCCAAAACAAGGAGCTTAGCAGTGTTGCACACAGGATAGTCCTTGCAAGAGACATGTTTGACAAGTTGCTGAGGTGCCTGATGGGGCCAGGCTCTTCTCATGAAATGAGTTTGAATCCTGAGGAAGCCTCTTTATTGGAAACCTGGCAGGGATCCAATTTCCCCTTTGCCTTAACCCCGTAAGAGAACAGTAGACAGGGAGGAGGTCACCCAGGTGGCTGTTCCTGCTTGGCCCCCACTTCCCAGACCATTCCAGACAGGGAGAGCTGCTGAGATCACTCCACGGGCTGCTCACATAGGGTCTGGACCCAGCTGCCCTCCTGTGCCTGGCAGGCAGCTCCTGGGCCATCACACGATCCATTGTGTGGTGATCAGTGGCCCACCGCCTGCCCTTGTGGTAGGTGCAGTTCACAGGTGCTTCCCCAGGCCTGGCACACTGGCCTTTCCAGCCTGGCCCATGATAGGGGATGTGAATGACCCTTGCCTGTGCCCCTTCAGACCATGTGAGGTTGGACACTCACTGCAGAAGTCCCTACAGGTCCCTTTTCAACTGAGTTGTGGGGGACTTGCTTAGCCCTCATGTCCAGGGTCAGGGGAGGGGTGCAGAGTCTGTGCCCTAAATCCCCTAGGGCCTGAGGGAGGTCTCCCAGGTGACCTCTGTCCTCTCCAGTGACACGAGTCCTCCCAGAAGGCCTCATCCCTCTCAGGTGACATGCTTCCATGGTGACTCTGGCTCTTGCAGGAGGTGGGCTACCACAGGGACATGAGCTGCCTAACTGCCATCCTCCTCCTGTATCTGCCAGAGGAAGACACCTTCTGGGCACTGGATCAGCTGATGGCCGAGGAGGGACACTCCCTGCAGGGTAGGCGGACAACTACCCCCAGGGCCTCACACAGCCAGGCCATGGGATGGCCACCCTGGCTGGGCGATCCTGACTTCCAGGCAAGGCACCATCCTTGCTTTCCAGCTTGTTAGGAGCCTTCAGGATATCCCTGCTGAGGGTCCCACAGGAACCCAGAACTGAACAGGGACCCTTTCACTTCAAGGCAGACACCTTTCATTCCCAACAGCAGAGGGCGCTGCAGCCTCCCCCTGGCCACCCTGTGTGTCCCAGAGCCACAGCCCTCTAGCCCTGAGTTCATGCAGGTGACTCTCCCTTCCCCAAGAGTCCTCCTACCTCCCAGCTGGCCACACCGCCAGCTGGCCTCCCAGCCCACAGATGGGCCAATGAAATCAAGATGGCAGTGTCTGCCCATCTCATGTCCCCCAGCCAGACCCCATGTCCAGGAGATGGCCATGTAGTCCCTCGGTACCCACCCCGTTCCCTCCACTGGCCACTGCCTGCCTCAGCCCTTCCTCATAACCTCAAAGGCAGGCCTGCCCTCCTGGCACCTCTACCCAGGATGCTGCTGTGCAGTGCCTCCAGCTAGGGCCCACCTCCCTAGAGCTGAGGCCACATATTAGGGTCACCTGATGGAAAGGAGGAAGGCCTCACGGTGCGGGGTCCCCTGCCACTGCCCAGCTCTTCCAGCTGACGGCTCCACATCTTGGGAGTGGGCTCTGATGCATGATGGGTCAGGGGCTTCTCAGTTTTCTACAGCCCAAATACTCCCCAGCTCCGGAGCCTTCTATCCTACCAGGAGCAGGTATAACACAAATCCTTCCCAAAGATCATGCAGTACCTGCTGAGTGGACAACACCCTCAACTCTTTCCCACAGGCCCTGGGTCCCATGTGGCAGGGAAACAGGGGAAGATGGAGCTCCTCGAGGGCCTGACAAGGGGCTGAGTCCCAGCCAGGGCCTCACCCAAGATGAGGATTCTCCATGGGTTTGGAGTTGGGTTTCCTTTTCATGCCCTGGAGGAGAAGGCAGAGGTACTAGGATGGGGGCTGAGCTCCAGCTGAGCATGGTTAAGGGAAGTGTGTCCACCAGGCATCTGTGCATGGGGGAGTTGTTGGGGAAGCACTGGCCACTGCCCAGTGTTCTGCCCAGGGCAGCTCAGGGGGCCCTGAACACCTAGGGTCCAGGAAGGGCCGTACATTGAGGTTTGTTGAGTTGGCTCCTCCGGTGTTTTGTTGATGGGGTAAGGAGGCAAATGGACCCCCCAGGCCAGGGACCCTCCTGTCCCACAAGTGCCCAGCTCCCCCAGGAGGACCTGGCTCACCCCAAGCCCACAGGAAGCACAGGAAAGTTTCTGCATGGCACAGAAGCCAGGCCCTCCTCAAGAGGGGGCATCACAAGGCAGGTGCCAGGACTCAGGCCCGCTGCTATTTCCACTTTATTAATTTTATAAGGTGATATGGTTTGGCTGTGTAGCCACCCAAATCTCATCTTGAACTGTAATTTCCGTAATCCTCATGTGTCATGGGAGAGGCCCAGTGAGAGGTAACTGAATCATGGCGGCAGTTTCCCCCATGCTGTTCTCATGATAGTAAGTGAGTTCTCATGTGATCTGATGGTTTTATAAGCATCTGGCATTTCCCTTGCTTGAGGTGATGAATGCCCCATTTACCCTGATGTGATTATTACACATTGCATGCCTGTGTCAAACTATCTCATGTACCCCATAAATATATACACCTACCATGTACTCATATAAATTAAAAATAAAAATAAATTTAAAATAAAAAGTGTGAGTTTTTAAAGGTGAGGTTTGCCCTCCAGCACTGGTGCCTGCCAGGTGTGACCTTCACGTCGTGTTTCCACACGGTCCAGGCCCCCATCTGCAGAGGCCAACAGTTCCCAGAGTGACCTTCCTCAGAAAACAGGGTCTTGGAGGAGACAGTCAGAGGAGGGGGCCTCATCCTCCCCACTGCACAGCCCCTTGTGGGGATTGGAAAGTGAGGGTCTCTGCCCACAAGTTGGCAGTCACCCTAAGCTGTTTTGTGGGAGGAAGCATAGGGAATATAGGTCAGGGCTGGGACAGCATTTCCTGATCCTGACTTGGAGAAGGTGTTAAAGTCTTGACATTCCTGACTCCTCCTTTGTGAGAGCCCCTGCCCTGCAGGTCTCACAGGGTTGTTGTGAGGGTCACCTGTGATGATGGGTTTGGAAGTGCTTTGTGAATGACACAGTGGGCCTTCCTATTCCTGTCACTGGCCTTTCGACCTTCAATACTAATTGCCTGGGGATCTCCAGGCCTCAAGGTCTAATCCTCGAAGGGTATGAGGTGTCCCTAGTGGAATATTCTACACCTCCTGGGAGGTCCCTCACTTCCACCTTCACCCAACATAACCCCTGCTCCTGTTCCCTCAGCCTGGAGAGCTTGCCCAGGAGCACAGCTTAGTACCGGACTGACCTCTTTGGAAAGGGTGATTACATCTTCATTTCAGCTCTCCCCCTTCCTAGCTTTCCACATAGAATTCCAGGGCTCCATGCAGCATTTGCTGGACATGAGGGGGGAAAGTTTTAGGGCAGGGATCTGCCCTGGGTGGGGACAGAGGAGTATCGTGGAGTCTGAGTGTCAGGAGTGTGAGACCTGCCCAGCTGGCCAGCCCCTGTCCCCATGCTGCTCCATGCATGATGTTTCCTGCACAAGCTTCCTTTAGAGGGAAGCTTCCGGAGTGACTGCAGTGAGGTCCATGCTGTTGGGGGTGACAGAGCAGCCCTGGAGGCCCTCTGCTCTTACCATGGCAGGAGGTGGCCAAAAAGAAGCAGGCAGAGGACGCTTCTCCAACAGGCTTGGAAAGAAATTTCCGCATATCACTCAAATCACTGTTGCCACTAGAAGGACAGTCTCTACAGTGGAGTGGAAGAAAACGACTATGCTGTGGGAGAGAATGGATGCATCCAGAAGAGCAAGGCTAGAGGGAAATGGGCCCGTTGCCAGAATTTCGTGTCTTTTGAAGACCTTTGCCAGAATTCTACTTTTGAAGGCTGCCCCTCTTGACAGTCAGTTACTGAGGAAGCTGTGGGGCATTTTCAAAGCTTTTATATAAAAAAAAAAACACACAATATACTGCTGTGGGCCTGTGTGCAGGGACCACGAAGAGCACAGCTGTCACTGTTCTGTGTCGCAGATGCTGTGGGAAGTGCCTTAACACACACAGATATGCTTCATGCAACCGGGTGAGGAACATCTCTAAAACAGTTTACACTCAAGAAAATTCAGTGTGAGGAGGTTGAATGTGTTGTCCAAGATCACACATACATCCTGACAGATTCGGGGTTCAATGAAGAATTATGTATTTTAATTAAGAATTATGTATTTTAATTTTGCATTTTAAATTTCTGCAGTTTTGTTCCATCACTTCTCACCATGCTTTCTACACTCGGAATTACTTTTTTTGGCTTCTTGAACTTCTTTACTTGTATGTTATTGATTTTCTACAAGTTTTAACATATATGATTAAAGAGTATTTCTTAATGTTTTAATAATTACCCTAGAATAAAATATATTTACTTTGATAGATGTATGCATTGGATATTACAGAGTATTGTGTACATTTTCAAACACATTGTGTTATACCAGAAGCATTATTCAACAGTGGTCTTTTTTTTACCTGAACTATGTTCAGAAAATCATTCCACCGCAGTACAGAAAGATCGATTTCATTTTGTTAACAGATGGATGTGCCATAGTGCAATAAATTGTTTAATTATCCTGTTATCCTGTTGTGGATATTTAAGTTCAAACAATGCAGTAATAAATATGCAAGAGTGCTTTTAGACATTAAAGAATATGGCTCTAAATTAGGGACCTAGTGCCTGTAATCCCAGCTCTTTGGGAGGTCGAGGTGGGTGGATCACCTGAGGTCAGAAGTTTGAGACCATCCTGGCCAACATGGCAAAAACCCATTTCTACAAAAAATACAAAAATTAGCTGGGTATGGTGATGCGCACTTGTAGCCCCAGCTACTCGGGAGGCTGAGGTAGGACAATTGCCTGAACCCACGAGGCAGTGGTTGCAGTGAGCTGAGATCATGTCACTGCACTCCAGTCTGGGGGACGGAGTGAGACTCTGTCCCAATAATAAATAAATAAATAAATAATCTACAAGTACAATTGCTTAGCCAAATTGCTTATGCATTTTGAATGTTAAGAGTTGCTGCCTAATTTCTGTTACAATGGCTATGGTAATTTACACTCAAAACACAGAATAGTTTGGTTGTTGTTACATACGAAATCTTACTGTTGCCGAGACTGGAGTGCAGTGGTGTAATCCTAGCTCGTTGTAGCCTCCAACGCCTAGGCTCAAGCAATCCTCCCACCTCAGCCTCCCTCCCAAGTAACTAGGATTACAGGTGCATGCCACCACACCCGGCTAATTTTATTCTTAGATATGGGATCTTGCTATCTTGTCCAGGCTGGTCTTGAAATCCTGGCCTCAAGGCGACCTCAGCCTCCAGTGTAGCTGACATTACAGGTGTGAGACACTGTGCCTGGCTGAATGAATGTCTCTATCCTGACACTTGTGTCCCCACGGGATCCTGTAGAATTCAGGACCCTGTCCACACAGGGGAAAACTCTCTGTTGGGGTCCTGATGACTGAGGAGGGAGCTTACCCATGGCTCTCCTGGTCATTTTTATTTAATAGTGAGCACAGAACCTCACATTTTCTGGAATGTTCCCATATGATTTTGTGAGAGAAAAGAGAATAGAGACCCCAACCCCAAGCTAACTGTGTCAAAGGGAAAATTAAGCTTGGGAACTGAGTTATGCAATACTGCTTTCCTTGTTCTCAAACACATAGTTATAACTTCACAACCCTGTGTCATAGCCTCATCCATAAGCGAGGTTCCCACAGTGACAGAAGGCCGCATGTCTCTTCAGATGTCCTCCCTCACAGTTTGCTGTGAGCCCCTAAATTTTTCAGAATGCACATCCCACCTGTAAACTATCCCTAAAAGTGAGTCGGCTCAATTTCACCCTGAGAATCTCAATTACCAGCTTATTTTCATAGTTCTGGGACAAGGTCAGGACGAGAAATCATCCCTCTGCCTATCCTGAGATGAATGAATCATTGAGTATTCCTTTACTCCACTCCCTCTATTTACATGCTTACTTTATCTTACGTAAAATGGAGATTTACTGAATGCGAGATGAATGCATAACTGTTTCCTCTGCTCCCTCCTTTCCTATGTAAAATGTAGATATCCTGATGCTAATCAGAGCCACACAAGAAAGCAAGCATTTGCTTCACTGTCTACCTTCAGTCTCACGGGAGTTCTCTGGATTTCTTGTATCAGCATGTCGACCTCTTTAGCAAGATTGAGGACAGTTTCCTGAATTATGTTCTCAAAAACGTTTTCCAAGTTGATTACTTTCTCTTCTTCTCTGTTAGAAATGCCAATAAGTCAGCCACGCACAGTGGCTCATGCCAGTAATCCCAGCACTTTGGGAGGCCAAGGTGGGAGGATCACCCGAGGCCAGAAATTTGAGACCAACCTGGCCAGCATGGTGAAACCCCATCTCTACTAAAAATACAAAAATTACTGAGGCATGCTGGCACACGCCTGTAATCTCAGATACTTGGGAGGCTGAGGCATGAGAATTACTTGAATCAAGGAGGTGGAGGTTTCAGTGAGCCAAGATCATGCAGCTGCACTACAGACTGGGTAACAGAGTGAGATTCTGTCTCAAAAAAAAAATGCCAATAAGTCATAGATTTTGTTCCTTTACATAATCTTACATTTCTCAAAAGTTTGGTTCATTATTTTTAAATTCTTTTTTTATTTTTGTCTGACTCGGTTGATTCAAAGGTCTGGTATTTGAGCTCTTAAATTATTTCTTCTATTTGGTCTAGTCTGTTGCTAAGGCTGCCAGCTGTTTTTTGAAATTCCTATAGTAAATTTCTCAATGCAAGAAGCTCTGCTTGGTTCTTTCTTAATATGGCTATGTTGTCATTCAAATCCAGGATCGTTGTTATGGGTTTGTTGTTGGATTTCAACTTTCTGTTGGATTTTGGTGATTTTTCTTTTTGCCACTTATATCTTGAATACTATACCTGTCATTTCAGATGTTTCATTCTGGTTAGGACTCTTTGTTAGATTGCTGGTGTAATCCTTTGGAGGTGATGGAACATTCTGGCTTTTTGTATTGCCAGAGTTCTTGTGCTGGTTTCTTCTCATCTGAGAGACTTGATGCTACTTTTGCTGAACTTGCTATCATTTGGAAGGAGTTTTTTTTTTAATTTTTCATTCTTTCTTTTTCTTAAGGGTATGACTGTGGTGTGTGTTGTATAGGATCAATTTGCTTCATTTCTGGGTACTTTCAGAGGACCAAGGCTCTGTACAAGTTCCTTGGTTGCAGATAGGCTCCTGTGGTGGCGTGGTGTGGTGATGTATTTTTGTTTGGTGGTGTAATCAAGGCTTCAGTCCAGTAAACAGTGCTTAAGAGTGACAGCTGGCTGCAGGGTCTTCTCCTCTGTGTACTTGTCCTCGACAGGTACAGAAGTGACAAAGTGCCAAAAGCGCCCTGTCCCAGTGTGTACTAGTCTTCAGCAGGGGCAGAGCTGCTGGAGAAACCTAAGAAGCAGCCTCTTTCAGCCCACGTTCCTTGGGCCCCAACAGGATGACCACTGCTGGGTCTGCAGCAGTGCACTAGGAAGGGGACAGAGGGCAAGAGATGACTACCTCTCTAAATCTGTTCCCAGGCTTTGGTGTGCCCCTTTCAGCAGCTGATGTCATGATCGTGTTTCCTTTTATCCAAGGGGTGGGTTTGGCAAGCTGTATTCCTCCTTCCCTTAGGGCTGGTCCCCACCAAAGTTTAGGTCTCCTGGGGAATGGGGTTCACCTCCCTCCTGTTTCTTGGAGCTGATGGAGTACTCTGTCAACTGACCAAGGGAGTAGGCTGGGACACCCAGCAATGACACACACAGACCAGTTCCAGGTTGCAAAGTTGTTCTTGGCTGCAAGTCTCACCATCCTTGAGAAACCTCTGCTTTAGGAACTCTCTTCCCACTACAGTCCTGCAAGAGGAGAGAGCCTAATTCCAACACCTACTCCTGGGGCACTTTCCATACTCAACACTCAATTCTGGCGGTGGAGGCTGCTCCCCTGCTCCAGAGCAAGCACTCCAATTCCTAGCCCAAGATTAAAGTGTCTGCAGTGGCCATCATTGCCAGGCACAAAACAATGATTGACTTTGTATGAGCCCAGATTAAAAAGGGCATCCTTCTCTCAGTCCCAGGTCTGGGGAAATGCCTGCAGCTTTTCTGAGTGTCTTTCCTCTTTCCCCATATCTCAGCCTCTTTTGTGCTAGCTCCAAGGCTTGGGAGAAACAGAGTGCTCTCCCTTAATCTGGATTGCACAGATCCCCAGTGGAAAGGTGAGTTGCAGAGGGAGACTGGCTGCTCTTCTCTCGTACTGGTGTTTCACTCCCTTTTATGAACCAAATGTTATAACAGAGGCTGCCTTCCCACCTCCCCTTCCACAGTGTCTGGAATGTTCTTTTCTATTCCTGTGAATTCCTATTTTTCTTCTTGAATTGAAGTTCACAAAGTTTATCTTTATGCTTATTTTTCTACTTCCAACTGGCTGAGGCACACTGAAATCCCCTAATCCATCATTCTAGGAAAAAAGGATGTTTTAAATAAAGGAATGTCCATATAAAATATATATTAATTAACCCAAACATATTTTGTTTGACATGAGTTGGGTGAATCTTTGATACATTAATTAATTTTAAAATTGTTAAATAAAATTAGAAATATCTTCGAATTTGCCAAGGTATGTTTCTCTCCTGGGATTACTGGTCAGTTTTATTTTTTCCTTGGATAGACATTTTAGGCCATAAATCTTGACATAGACCTGATGTAGACCTCCATACCTTTCCCAGATGTGGGATGGAGCAACTGAGACAGGTCCATCCTAGCACTAAGTGATGATTAAGCCTAACTTGTAGTTGTACAACTATAAACATGGTTGATGCTTTAAGAGAAAGTTCTTGATGGAAAGGGGTAAATGTAAAAATTGATCATATGAATTGGGTCATTCTTGTCACACCAAATAAAACCATCAAGAAGCCAGGGGGAGGAGGCATTCAGGGCAAAAACACCACTCCAAAAGCGTAATTCTCTTCATGCCTGGCTGCTGAAATTACCTGCTTTAAGCTGAAGCCAGTTTTATCAAATGGTTACTGCAACAACCTCTTGAACACTAAGACTAGCTTTACCCACCACTGTCCCTCACCTATCAGAGCCTACCAGCTCTTAAAAACCTTACTGGTGCCAGTGAACTTTCTCAAAGAGAAATACATACCGTTTTTCTCTCTGTCTCCCGTTTTTATAAAACCTCTAACTTTCTCTTTATCTTTTGGACATACTAAAGACACCCATTCTGCATGTATGTGTGAAATTGTTATACTTGTATCTCAAATAAAACATTTTAATTTCAGATGTTTGTCTCTATATTTATTTGACTTTGACAATCTGATATTACTTAGCATTATTTCCAGTCTCCCAAATAATGTCAAAATTTTGTTATGTTAGATAGGAATACCTTGTTATTCAACTTGAAGGTAAACTGCTTGATCCGTGCATGTAATTCCTTGACAGATTGTCAGCACCTCTAAGACAACATGTAGATATTACTCATTATTAACTCATTTCATCCTTTCATGATAAATTACATAAATTTAATTTTCATTTTTAAAATGCAAACCATTATGCCTTGTATTATGACATTCTTGCTATAATTGTACTATGACAGTTCTATAAAGGAATACCTAAGCACTACGTAATTTATACCGAAAAAAAAGGTTGACTTGGCTCCCAATTCTGCAGGCTGTACAGGAAGCTTTGCATTGGCAGTTGCTTGGCTTCAAGAAGGGTCCTCAGGGAGCTTTTACACATGGCAGAAGGTGAAGCAAAAGAAGGTATGTCACATGGCCAGAGCAGGAGCAAGCAGGGAGAGGTGCCACACACTTTTAAACAGCCAGATATCATGAGAACTCACTCACTCTTGCAAGGACAGTGCCAAGAGGATGGTGCTAAACATGAGAAATCAGCCCTTATGACCCCATCACCTCCCAACAGACCCCACCTCCAACAGTGGGAATTACAATTCAACATGAGACTTAAAGGGTATAACATCCAAACTATTTCATTCCATCCCTGGCCCTTCAAATCTCATGTTCTTCTCACATTGCAAAATACAATCATCCCTTCTCAATAGTCCCCCAAAAGTCTCAAACTGTTTTGGCATCACTCGAAAGTGCAGTTTCTTCTGAGACAAGGCAAGTCCCTTCCACCAATGAGCCTGTAAAATCAAAACCAGTTATTGACTTCTAAGATAAAACTGGGATACAGGCATTGGGTAAACTTTCCCATTACAAATGAGATAAATTGGCCAAAAGAAAGGGACTACAGGCCCCACACAAGTTCAAATCCCAGCAGGGCAGTCATTAAATCTCGATGTTCCAAAATAATCTCCTTTGAAACCATGTCCCACATCCTGGGAACATAGAGCATTACCAGGATGCATAGGGTGGGCTCCCAAGGCTTTGGGCAGCTCTGCTCCCACAGCTTTTCTACACTGAAGACAGGAGCTGCTGGTGGCTCTATCATTCTTTGATCTGGAGGTCAGCAGCCCCCCCTCCCACAGCTCCACTAGGCAGCCCCCACAGTGTGGGGCCTCCAATCCCACATTACCACTTGGCACTGTCCTAGAAGAGGTCCTCTTTGAGGGCTCCAGCTGTGCATAGGCTTCTCTCTGGGCATCCAGCCTTTCTCATACATCCTCTGAAATTTAGGCAGAGAATGCCAAGCTTCCTTCACTCTTGCACTTTGATCACCTGCAGGCTTAACACCACATGGAAGCCACCAAGGCTTATAGTTTGCACCCTCTGAAGCAATGGCCTGAGCTCTATCTGCAGCCCTTTGAACCAAGCCTGGAGCTAGAAGGGCCAGGATGCAAGGAACTCCCTCCTGGAGGTGGTACAGGGCAGTGATGCCCTGGCCCTGGACCAAGTGGAACAGGAATTAAAAGAAATTAAAAAATGTGTAAGCAGAAACTCAGCTGTATGTGAGAAAACCCAATTCCCCCTGAGAAACAGAAAGAGCTGGAGTCCTTTAAAAATTAACTGCCTGTTTTGCTGTGGCTAGTGAGCCTCATCTCTCCTCCTTTCCCAGGCATTGTGAAGAACCTGTTTCTCTAGCTGTGCAGCTGCAAGTTCACTAGACAGAGAAACTCAAGTCGTAAAACATGTTTTTCCTTGAAAAGTAAGAAATAATATAATGCATGTCTCAATTAATTGAATAACTGTCTTTGTTTCTCGCTTCTGTAATATGCTTCCCCGTGCACAGATCTCCCCCACTCCCCACCACCCCACAAAACGCTTAAAAGGTAACTTGAATCTTTGTTCAGGACTCAGTCCTTTGGATGTTAATCTGACTGGGCCGGTGCACCTAAATAATAAATATCTTCCTCAACCCTATTGGTGTCTCTGATTCCTTAAAAAATCCCGCTACAGCCTGGGCATGGTGGCTCACTCCTGTAACCCCAGCACTTTGGGAGGCCAAGGCGGGCAGATCACGAGGTCAGGAGATTGAGACCATCATGGGTAAGACAGTGAAAACCCATCTCTACTAAAAATCCAAAAAATTAGCCAGGCATGGTGGCAGTCAGCTGTAGTCCCAACTACTTGGGAGGCTGAGGCAGGAGAATGGCATGTACCCAGGAGGCAGAGCTTGCAGTGAGCTGAGATTGTGCCACTGCACTCCAGCCTGGGTGACAGAGTGAGACTCCATCTCAAAATAAATAAATAAATTACCCAGGAGGCAGAGCTTGCAGTGAGCTGAGATTGTGCCACTGCACTCCAGCCTGGGTGACAGAGTGAGACTCCATCTCAAAATAAATAAATAAATTAATAAGTAAATTAATTTTTAAAATCCCACTACAAAAGAAACCATTCTTTTATCCTAGACCTCTAGGTCTGTGGTGGGATGAGCTGCTGCAAAGATTTCTGAAATGCCTTCAAGGCCTTTTTTTAATTTTCTTGGCTATCAGCACCTAGCTTTTTCAGTTATGCAAATGTCTCTAATAAGTGGTTGCTCCGCAGCCTGTTTAGATTCTTCCCCTGAAAATGCTTTATCTTCCTTTGCCAAATGGGCAGGCTGCAAATTTTCTATACTTGTATGGTCTGCTTCCCATTTAATTGTAAATTCCAACTTTAAGTCATTTTTTTGCTCCTGCGTCTGAGTGTTCAAACTTCCTCAGATCCCTAGTACATGAAAAGACTGTAGCCAAGTTCTTTGCAAAGGCATAACAGGCATGACCTTTATTCCAAGTCCCAGTAAGTTCCTCAATTCCATCTGAGACTGCATCACCCTATCCTTCACTGTCCATACCACTATCAGCATTTTGGTCACAACCATTTAACTAGTCTCTAAGAAATTCAGAACTTTCCTTCATCTTCCTGTATTCTGAGCCCTCCAAACTCTTCCAACTCCTGCCCATTACTCAGTTCCAAAGTCACTTCCACATTTTCAAGTATCTTTATAGCAATGCCCCATGTCTCAGTACCAATTTTCTGTATTAGGCCATTCTTACATTGCTATAAAGAAATGCCTGAGACTGGGTAATTTATAAAGAAAATAGGTTTGAAAAGAGGTTTTTATAGCTGCAGTCTGTACAAGCATGGTTCTGGCATCTGCCTAGCTTCTGGTGAGGCCTCAGGAGGCTTTTATTCATGGCAGAAGTTGAAGAAGGAGCAGGCAGGCACAACACCTGGCAAGGCAGGGAAAGCACCACACACTTTTAAACAAATAGATCTTGAAAGAATTCACTCACTATCACAAGGACAGCACCAGGGACAGGACGCTAGACCATTTCTGAGAAATCCACCCCCATGATCCAATCACCTCCCTCCAGACCTACCACCAACATTGGGGATATCACAATTCAACATGAGATTTAGAGGGAACAACATCTGAGGTATCTCATGCCTCATGTTGTGACTTGGTATAATGTCCATAAGATTACACTGACTTTACACATCATATTGCAGTTTTTGCTAGCTCTTCTGTAGTAAGAAAATGGGATTCATCAGCATTGCCTTCTAAGTCTGGCTCTGTTTTCCCATGCAGACATTTCCCCAAGCTCTGCTTGTAAGTCTTCCTAGAACCTCACCCTAGGCAGCAACCTCCAGTCTGAGATTGCCCTTGACAGTGGCTGAGGTTTGCATTGTTGGGATTAGAAAAAACAAAGGGAAGATAGACCAAAACAGGTTTAAATACAGATCCCATTTGTTGAAGTTTTAAGTAATTTTAATTGTTTATTTTCACCAGCTGCCCATACCCATTGTACTCTCCTCACCCAAAAAAGTGACTTGATATTCTAGTAAAAAGCCAAACTGTACTTTAGAGAAACCCACTTGTTACTTCTTTAAATCCATATAATTTTGCCAAAGTGAATTTTTCTTAATATGCTCTGGCAGAATCAGAAAACTAATTATTTACACCAGAGTCACTTAACATTTCCTCTTAGTCATTTGCATGTAAATTATTTTTATATGTATAAAATTTGCTTACTCAAGAAATCTCTTGCTATGTACATTTTTTTGTGGTATCTTAACATACTCTAGTCTTGTCTTGAATTCCTTAAGACTTTGAGGTAAAGAACTCTATTGTAACAAGTTTCCAAATCAAAGTGTGAAAGAGGAAGATTAGGTTAAGCATTAGGTCATCAGGTATGCAGGAGAGCTAATTCCATTATCAGAATGGTAGTGATAGCCAGTTTGTATTTTGCATATTAGTTGTAACAAAAATATTCAGCGTATTAGTGACAAAACCAAAGTTATTGTGAATCAGTTTATAATTTATTTTTTGAGATAGGGTCTTACTCTGTCACCCAAGCTCAAGTGCAGAGGCGTGATCTTGGCTCACTGCAGGCTCAACCACCTGGGCTCAAGAGATCCTCCCAGTCCAGCCTCCTTAGTACAGGTGAGTGCCACCACACCCAGCTATTTTTTCTCTAGTTTTTGTAGAGATTGGGTCTCACTTTGTTGCCAAGGCTGTACTCAAACTCCTGGGCTCAAGCAATCCTTCTGCCTCAACCTCCCAAAAGGTGCTGGGATTACAAGTTTGAGCCACCGCAACTGGCCAGTTTATAATGTTAATGGCTTTTGGAGCAAGAACCAGTGGGTGCTGCTTCTTGTCTGCAAGATGAGGAGCCTCTTCTCCCCAGAAGTGAGGCATCTTCTACCACAAGGGAGGCTTTGCCCAAACAGTCACCGAAAGGCTGAGATTGATGGGAGAACAAAACAGGAGTGAATATGTCCCTGGAACCTAACTGCTCCCCAATTCAATACTACTGCAGACATTCAGAATGAAGGGGACTTTCAGCTGAGGAACAGGAGTGCACTGGCTGTTAAAATCTCAGATTGAAAACAATTTTGCTTCATTTTCCCTAAATAATTTTTAAACAATTGTTCTTAGGTGACTTTCTAAACTTCGGGTAATATCTGTGAATTAGTAAATGTTCTTTAAAAGATGGAATAATATTTTTATTTTGTTTAATTATATGTGTTTTTAAACTAATTTTATAGGAAAAATAATTTCTTTCCTTCCCTGTTATATCAAATACAGCCTTTAGCTCAAGACACAGGTAATTCCAGGAAAACTGGAATTTAAGTTCAATATGTTGCACTAAGTACATTTGAAAGTGCATGCATTTTTATTTTAATTCATCATTCTCAGTCAACTATCCCAAGGACAAAAAACCAAACACCGCATGTTCTCACTCATAGGTGGGAATTAAACAATGAGAACACACGGACACAGGAAGGGGAACATCACACTCTGGGGACTGTTGTGGGGTGGGGAGACGGGGGGGAGGGATAACATTAGGAGATATGCCTAATGCTAAATGTCGAGTTAATGGGTGCAGCACACCAGCATGGCACATGTATACGTATGTAATGTATACATATGTTAATGCACCAATTCTGCATCAAGTCAGTGCAATCAGAGACACGGCAAGAATGACTTTTGGTTTTCTTTTCCTAGTTTTTGAAAGTTTCTCAAGTCTGTCATATTGGACTCTGTATTACATCTTGAATTTTTTTCACTTACTTTAGATCTCCTTACTCTCAATTGTTTAGCTATTACCTTAACATTTACCCTGTGAACCCATGACATTTGAGGTTGCCAAAGTGATTATTACATGATAAAACATATACTTGGTTAAAGGCAATATTTAACAATTGTAAAACCAATAAATCAATAATTAAATCTTTCTGGCTTAGACTTAAAACTGCTTAATTTAGTCATATCTCTACCCACAACATAGGGATTCCAACAAGGGTTGAAAGTAGAGTTGGCAAGCATTTCCATTCTCTTCTGGGACAGTAATTCTTACTACCAACACTGGTTCTGACCAGTGAAATTCAAAATCAGTGAAACACTACCCAGAGTCTGAGTGAGCCAAAAATAGTTTCACTTTAAGAAAACGTCTGTATCCTTAGATGTGAGTTATTCTCTGTGAACATTTTATTCACTTTAATGTATTTAAAGAAAATCTTTCCAAATTGGTGTGTTTTCTTTAGTTTGTATTCTGATACTTTGATGCTAAAAGCTCTTGATTTTAAGTTTTCTTGGAGGAGCTATCTACATAATAATTTTTATACATCATTATATGCATCGATAATTAAAAAGGCATAGAAATTTTTACACTAATTCAGAAATATTATAGACCTAACTAAATGAGGACAAACTATAAGCAATTTTGGGAAACTATAAGGATGTAATTAAATAGTCAACGTTTTTAGAAACCACTAACTGCATATTGAAATCTTGACACTTGTTGGGAAAATGAGGTGGTAAATCAACTTGTCAGTGTGAGTACTAAATAAAACAAAATATGGTTAAGAGTGTCCCTTTAAAGTTCAGATACTCAGTAGTTCTGCAATATCTGACTTTAAATGTTTCTGCAAAATAGTTTATCTGAATAAAATATTATTCCGTGTTCACCAACCATTAAGAAAATCTGCTGTATGGCCAGGTTAAACCTGAAAGTGGTACAATTCAAAACTTGATGTAGGCAATAGGCATGTATAATGTATTTATTCTAATATGAGAGGGCATATCAAAGTAATTTTCTTGGAGCACACTGTCAAAACAAAGCAATGGGATTTGGCCATAGACGTTTCATTATTATCAAAGAGACCTGGACACTACCTTAGAGTAATAACTTTATTATTTAGCAAAGGTGTTTTATAAAAAGAACAACAAAATGAGAGGAATAGAAATCATGCAGGTAGGCCGGGCGCGGTGGCTCACGCCTGTAATCCCAGCACTTTGGGAGGCCGAGGCGGGCGGATCACGAGGTCAGGAGATCGAGACCATCCCGGCTAAAACGGTGAAACCCCGTCTCTACTAAAAATACAAAAAATTAGCCGGGCGTAGTGGCGGGCGCCTGTAGTCCCAGCTACTTGGGAGGCTGAGGCAGGAGAATGGCGTGAACCCGGGAGGCGGAGCTTGCAGTGAGCCGAGATCCCGCCACTGCACTCCAGCCTGGGCGACAGAGCGAGACTCCGTCTCAAAAAAAAAAAAAAAAAAAAAAAAAAAAGAAATCATGCAGGTAAAACAAACAATCTGATTTTGTGGGTCTCAGAGCAGAGATTAGTGTCTTTCAGTTTCAGAGTAAATGACGTCACTGCATTTCTCTGAACTGTCATGGTTGTCACAAATATACTGTGTTCTAACACACTCCATGATTTAAGGTCTACAAAGTAACAAAGGCAAAATAACCTATATGTTCTACCATATTTTCCCCAATTCCAGTGTTCTTCAAAGAGAGAATGTTTTCTCTAAATCTAATTGAGAGTAATTCTGTATGGATCGCTAAACATTTATTCAGGCAGTTGGAGTAATATGTGTCCAGGGCTAACTCAGAGGGGTCTTTTATATCTTTTAAAAGAAGCTAACTATATATACTCTTGTGATGTGAGAATCACCATCATTGACTTACAGTTTCTAAGGTTTGAAGGGACATTGAACACTCAAGGGGCTCACATTCTTACTGATACATGAATCTCTTCACGTCCAGGGAACTTAGTATTTTTCAAGAGTGCAAAATGCCTAGAGACAGCTGGGAACAAATGAATGTCATTCCTGATACTGTGCTCATACTTACTTGAGCTTCATCTCAGAAAATAAATTGTCTGGTGCAATATTTCTTACAACTTAGATCCTAAATGAACTCAACAAACTAGTTCTTTTGTTTTATTTTATTTTATTATTATTATACTTTAAGTTTTAGGGTACATGTGCACAACGTGCAGGTTTGTTACATATGCATACATGTGCCATGTTGGTGTGCTGCACCCATTAACTGGTCATTTAACATTACGTATATCTCCTAATGCTATCCCTCCCCCCCTCTCCCCACCCCACAACCATCCCTGGTGTGTGATGTTCCCCTTCCTGTGTCCATGTGTTATTGTTCAATTCCCACCTATGAGTGAGAACATGCGGTGTTTGGTTTTTTGTCCTTGTGATACTTTGCTAAGAATGATGGTTTCCAGCTTCATCCATGTCCCTACAAAGGACATGAACTCATCATTTTTTATGGCTGCATAGTATTCCATGGTGTGTAAGTGCCACATTTTCTTAATCCAGTCTATCATTGATGGACATTTGGGTTGGTTCCAAGTCTTTGCTATTGTGAATAGTGCCACAATAAACATACATGTGCATGTGTCTTTATAACAGCATGATTTATAATCCTTTGGGTATATACCCAGTAATGGGATGGCTGGGTCAAATGGTATTTGTAGTTCTAGATCCCTGAGGAATCGCCACACTGACTTCCACAATGGTTGAACCAGTTTACAGTCCCACCAACAGTGTAAAAGTGTTCCTATTTCTCCACTTCCTCTCCAGCACCTGTTGTTTCCTGACTTTTTAATCTTTTTAATGATCATCATTCTAACTGGTGTGAGATGGTATCTCATTGTGGTTTTGATTTGCATTTCTCTGATGGCCAGTGATGATGAGCATTTTTTCATGTGTTTTTTTGGCTGCATAAATGTCTTCTTTTGAGAAGTGTCTGTTCACATCGTTCACCCACTTTTTGATGGGGCTGTTTGTTTTTTTCTTGTAAATTTGTTTGAGTTCATTGTAGATTCTGGATATTAGCCCTTTGTCAGACTAGTAGGTTGCAAAAATTTTCTCCCATTTTGTAGGTTGCCTGTTCACTCTGATGGTAGTTTCTTTTGCTGTGCAGAAGCTCTTTAGTTTAATTAGATCCCATTTGTCAATTTTGGCTTTTGTTGTCATTGCTTTTGGTGTTTTAGACATGAAGTCCTTGCCTATGCCTATGTCCTGAATGCTATTGCCTAGGTTTTCTTCTAGGGTTTTTATGGTTTTAGGTCTAACATGTAAGTCTTTAATCTATTTTGAATTAATTTTTGTATGAGGTGTAAGGAAGGGATCCAGTTTCAGCTTTCTACATATGGCTAGCCAGTTTTCCCAGCACCATTTATTAAATAGGGAATCCTTTCCTCATTTTTTCTTTTTGTCAGTTTTGTCAAAGATCAGATAGCTGTAGATATGCGGCATTATTTCTGAGGGCATTATTTCCATCGGTCTATATCTCTGTTTTGGTACCAGTACCATGCTGTTTTGTTTACTGTAGCCTTGTAGTATAGTTTGAAGTCAGGTAGTGTGATGCCTCCAGCTTTGTTCTTTTTGCTTAGGATTGACTTGGAAATGTGGGCTCTTTTTTGTTTCCATATGAACTTTAAAGTAGTTATTTTTCCAATTCTATGAAGAATGTCATTGGTAGCTTAATGGGGATGGCATTGAATCTATAAATTACCTTGGGTAGTATGGCCGTTTTCATGATATTGATTCTTCCTACCCATGAGCATGGAATGTTATTCCATTTGTTTGTATCCTCTTCTATTTCATTGAGCAGTGGTTTACAGTTCTCCTTGAAGAGGTCCTTCACATCCCTTGTAAGTTGGATTCCTAGGTATTTTATTCTGTTTGAAGCAATTGTGAATGGGAGTTCACTCATGATTTGGCTCTCTGTTTGTCTGTTATTGGTGTATAAGAATGGTTGTGATTTTTGCACATTGATTTTGTATCCTGAGACTTTGCTGAAGTTGCTTATCTGGTTAAGGAGACTTTAGGCTGAGACAATGGGTTTTTCTAGATATACAATCATGTCATCTGCAAACAGGGACGATTTGGCTTCCTCTTTTCCTAATTGAATGCCCTTTATTTCCTTCTCCTGCCTAATTACCCTGGCCAGAACTTCCAACACTATATTGAATAGGAGTGGTGAGAGAGGGCATCCCTGTCTTGTGCCAGTTTTCAAAGGGAATGCTTCCAGTTTTTGTCCATTCAGTATGATATTGGCTGTGGGTTTGTCATAGATAGCTCTTATTATTTTGAGATATGTCCCATCGACACCTAATTTATTGAGAGTTTTTAGCATGAAGTGTTGTTGAATTTTGTCAAAGGCCTTTTCTGCATCTATTGAGATAATCATGTGGTTTTTGTCTTTGGATCTGTTTATGTGCTGGATTATATTTATTGATTTTATGCAAGAATAATCTAAATTTCTCTGGTGAAAGAACTTAACATGCCTTTTAATAATTTATATATCATTCCTTTTGTGAAACCTAATGAAAGTAACAATTTTGTCTATTGTAAAAGGCAAGAGATTGCAACAGATGGAAATCACTTTATTTCCTTTATCTTTGTAAAGATGATGACTGCTAATGAACAACATGAAGAATTTTCAGGTATAATTTTGATAAAAATTTAATGGCTTTGGGCTTCTAGGCTAAATCTACAATACAACCCTTCTTAGGATTGTACTTTGAAACTCTCATTGTCATCTGACATATGCAGACAGAACAGAAATATAATCCCCTTTCTAAATGTTTACATTGTCTCCCTGGTACGAATTAGCTTGCTGGAAACATCAGTAATCCCTGACATAAAGATCCCACTATTAAATAAAACTGATACTTTTTAAAAACATGAAGCAAATAAGCAACATTTCATAAAGCAACACAGGATTTTATATGTTCCCCACTCCATTGGAGGCTATTATGCTGAAATGGATCCTCATTCCAACCTGTGTCCACATTTTAGGGTTGAAATAGTCTAAAACATAACATTGACTGTTCTCCTGTTGTGATATCTATATATCTAATATGTTCACATTCTCTGTATTCGTCTACATTAATAATTTTAAAAAGGAAAAGAAAGGGGGCTTTAGGAAGAACTTTACATCACACATCAATCAGAGTAAACATCAAATCAAGTTGTCATCAATTTACTAATAAACCCATTTGAGAAAAAGTATTCAGCTAGAGAGCAATGAACATTATTGTCTTTGTGTCTGATCCGTATTTCTCCACCTGATACCTGGAAATAACAAGAGAGTTACTGTAAAATATCTCAGGTGCATTGTTGAAAGTGATTTCCTGCTTTTGTGGGATAACTGAAACATAAACGTAAATAAGATAGTTTGAAAGTTCACTTTCTCTTCAATGCTCAAATAATTTGTTCTAATAAAGCTCAGTAAAACTTAGCTTGTAATGCCATCAAGGTAAATATATTCATGAAGTACTCACTTGCTAAATTTTTAAACACAGTTCATTATCTCATCTTTAATTTTTAGTTGTTATTTCAGTTAGCCATTGCTGTGTAATTAGCAGTCATCAAACTTAGTTGCTGAAAACACATACTCACAATTTGTTAACTTTGGTTGGGCTCCGGAGGAAAATATTTGGAGTCTTGCCTAGGTTTCCTTATATGACTGACAAGGCCTACATAGTCCAAAGTGACATCACTCAAATATCTGGTAGTTCACTGGTGCTATCAGCTGGGTTCTCCTCCACTTAGTCTCTCTGGTAGAGTAGATCAGGTTCTCACTTGGCATTGGTGCCATTTTAATTTGCCAAGCCTAAATTTACTATCATTTATCAAGTGTCTATTAAGTCAGTGTCAGAGAGGGCTATATAAGGATATGGCTATGAGGAGACTTAATAAATCGAGGGTTCTTTGATATAACAGGCTACCCAGTTACATTTCTTGTTCTAAACATTTTTTCAGATACAACAAACAATCATTTTACAATTTAACTTGTAGATGAATGAGTTTCCTGAGATATAATTTAACTAAGCAAACTCTTTCATACTACAAATCTTATGACCTCTTTACCCATCTTAGGTCTTAAGATAGATATGAGAGGTATTCTGGAATAGAAATCTAAAGTTAAGGCTAGAGTCAAGAGTGCCGAAGATAAGACTCTTATCCAAAGGAAAATCAAGCAATTGCTATGTCTTGCAAAGGCCAGTGAGCAGACAGAGGGGAGAGAATACAATTGCCCCAAATAAAGACTCACTTTGGAACTCAGTGACTATATGTGTGCATATATGTGTATATATATGTATATTATATATGTGTATGCATGTATATATGTATATTATACATATATATGCATATGTATATATGAATATATATATAACTGAAAACTGCACACATCCCATATACACCATATACATGACAGTGAACACACACACATACATAAACATATATATTCAGTTTCAAACAATTGTTAGGGAACCTGAGGAAGAAACTAAATGGAATATAATGGTTGCATCTATGACAGCCATGGTACTAGAACTAGTAGTAGTTCTACTAAGGTGAGAATTGACATAGTAAAAGAAATAAGATACAAAGCAGTAAGAGAGAGCTACATTTTCCTTAAGGCCAGGCTGAATATTCGCTAACAAGGAAATTTCTACAGTCATTATTTTAATCGGATTCATTCTCTTGGTGGGATATTCCAGAGCTACCACCTACAGAAATTCCACTTACGGAGGTTTTCTTTTTTTCTTTTCAGTCCAAATATTAGTCATTTTGTTAGAGAAGGCAGAAACAATTAACAATTGAGTAATTCCTCAAAATCATGTTAAAAGGTTTCCAAATCATGAATGTATAGTTATATTTTGTTCACTAGATTTTAACCCACATACCTCACTTGTATAGAAATTATGATTATTTGGATATTCAGTATATTTCTTCATACAAAGACAAAAATCTATAAAATGTACACACACACAGATGCTATGGATACATGCACACATGCACACACACAAATATGTGTACATGGTTTAACATTATTTTCTAGATCATTCAGAGGTCAGTATTAATTAAAACATCATAGATGTATGGCAAATTATGAGCAACTTCTCCTAGGACAGGAATTTAAGAAGCCTTCAATTGTCATAACAATGGAAAGAAGTCTGAGAGCTGGAGTAAGGGAAGTTGGTGCTCAGATATCCTTATGAGATAATCTTGAAGCTAAATGAGGCTAAAATATTAATACAAGTTATTTAGCCAAGTTTTCCAGCAGGAAGAAGGAAATAAGCAGTGAACTAAAAAGCATACAAGATACGGAGGAGCAGGTTAAATGAAGCCATTACAGCAGAAATTGAGAAGAATAAACAGGAGTTAGAAGATGAGAGCAAGCAATTGCAAGTGGAGTGGGCTGAGCTGGAATTATGGTGTAGAAAATGACTGGTTGAGAAAAACCCAAACAAATATTTCTATAATGTCATGTGCATAGATACCTGTAGATGTTATGAAGGTATATAAATAAACTACCTGTCATTAGAGCTAATTCCTTAGCAAATTATTCATAAAAGTTTATAACTTTGTGAGGCATTACAGACACCAAAACTAATGATTTGGCATTTCCGTGGCCCAATTTGTCTAAAGAACTATCTTTTACACTTTACTGTTTTTTAATAGGCAATATAGTGCTCAAAAAGTCTTTTATACCAAGTCCAGTAGGCTGATAACATTGAGTATTACTGAGCATTCCCTTGTGTCTACCCTCAGGCAAATCTGGAGATTTTCTCAAGCCTCTTTATGAAAATGGAGAGACCTCACAAGAGATGCTAATGGACAGCTGACCCTGCTCCCTGCTCCATCACAGGTTGTAGAGTATTAATTCCCAAGTTATCTATAAATCCTCAAAAGCACTGGGTTTAGAAAGCTTCTGGATATAACTTCCCGGAAGGCAGTGCATCTCTTCGCATGCCTTGTCCCATGAATTTTTTTTTCTGAAATTTTTGCAATATCCTTTATAATAAACTCGTAAATGTAAGTGTTTCCCAGAGTGCTTCAGCATTCTCTGAGATGAGCTCAGTGTGGTTCCTGACGGAAGTGGAAGTGAGTGACTCCAGACGGTCGGACATTTCCCAGGACCCTCCGCCAGGAAGTCTGAATTAGGGTCCATATAGGGCCATAAATGAGCGCCCCCTCTAGTTCCCCCCACTACTCAGAAAACAGAGGTGGTCCTCCATGGTGTCCTGTGGTCCTATATTCGGGTTTCGGAACCACCACTCCTTCCTTCCTTCCTTCCTTCTCTCTTTCTTTTTTTTTTTTTTTTTTTTTTTTGAGACGCAGTCTCACTCTGTGGACCAGGCTAGAGTGCAGTGGCATGATCTCGGCTCACTGCAACCTCTGCCTCCCGGGTTCAAGTGATTCTCCTGCCTTGGCCTCCCAAATAGCTGGGATTACAGGCCCCACCATAGCGCCCAGCTAATTTTTTCTATTTTTAGAACGTCTTTACTCACTCCTGACACATTCGTGTTAAAGAAAACATTACAATATTCTCAAAAAAATCCATATCCATCACCATTGCATATGCAGTATTACTGGTTGTTTTGATGTAAATTACGTTTAAAGGTTTATTTTAAAAAGTGTGCATATTCAACATAAAGAAAGAAAAAAATCTAACGAATTTAAAGTCTGCTGTAATCCTAGCACACGTGAACACAATATTAATATCTTGGCTTATTTATTTTCTGATGTTCGTGAGCATATATATATATATATATATATATATATATATATATATATATATTAAATCCCCTCTAGCAAATGGCCTGTAATAGCTTGTAAGCATTTTTTTTAATCACAGATCGTATATTGTAGACAGATTTTCACTACATCATGAAATCATTTGTAATGGTTGCCTAAGATAATTTAGTTTTTAGATCCCATACTACCTTGTCCTCCAGTAAACTTTTACTTCCAATTTCAGTGTAGCTAAACTAGAAATAATCATTTTCTTAATGTTATCACTATTTGGTAGACTGAACATGCTGACTTATTATTGACTGCATTTCGTTGATCATGGAAATGTTGAACAGACGTTGATATAACAATGGTGGTGAATTTTCCGTTTATATCCTTTGCCCACTTTCTTCATTCATTTATTTTAAATTCTGTCTAAACTAATGGTATTGACTCTGTTATAAATGATTAATTATTCCCCAGTTTGAAATGTTATACCGTAAAGAAGTTTAAATTAAAAACAACTTGATTTGTCAAAATTTATCTGTGTTTTTATTCTGGATTGTGTATTTTCCTGTAGGATCATAAAGACTTTCCTTACCCTGATTCCCAATAAACACATGTCTATATTCACTTCTAATGCTTCTATTGTTTTTAATCCCTGTGTGTGGTATGAAAGGAAGATCTTATTTTCTGATTCTCCAATTGTTTGTCGAGTTTTGTCAACAATATTTCCTGAAAAATTTTCTTTCTGTATAGATTGAAATACTATTTTGTTCACTTACTACATTACTATATATATTATGTATTAGATATTTTCTGGGATACAATTCTGTTGCCAAGATAGACATATCTTTTTCTGTGCCATAACGAGAGTTGTCAATTAGAGTGATAACACATTTCTTTATTACTCTATTCTCATTATTGATCAAAAGTTACATCCTAGAAGTACCAGGGCTCTCACTTCCAAATAGACTATTTAATTGTTTTGATACATTCTCAAAAACTGTCAAGGGCTCCAAGGCATCCAAAGCTTCAAGGTATTTGTTCACAAACCCAACCCTGTTTGCTTGAATATGAACTGTCCTAATTTCTACCCCGGTCTTCCATTTCCACAAGTCTGTGACTTTGTTGCTATTGTTATCTCTGTAAGGCTATCCTCTCCTTTGCTTTATACTTTTACTCAGAATTCATGACCCAACTTGAATATCACTTTCTCCATGGAATTTTTATGAGTTCTCCAACATAATTCAATGACCAGGTCAGTTTTTGATCCAGGACAGCATTTCCTGTGAATGTGGTGGATGTTATATATCACTCAATGCATTTTCTCATTACCCTGGGGAATCAATAAATTGAAGTTTCTTAATCTGCAGAACTGAGGACCAATCGCTTTAAAATGTGTGCCCATGAATCTGTTCCAAGACCCAAGATGAAATTTCAGCCCTCATCCACCCTCATATAAATGACAAAATATTATGTGGGATCCCTGTAACAACTGAATTTTAAAATGCTAGGATTATCCCTTCCCTACCACTATGTCATTTTTAAACGTGTACGGCATTAATGATTACAACAGAAATGATGAAACCCATAACCACGGACAAACCCTGACTTATGATGGTTTGATTTATGATTTTTCAACATTACGATGGGTTTATTAGGATATTAGATGCGTTCTTGAGTTACACTGGGTTCATCAGTATGTAACCCTATACTCCAGAAAGAGATGTATAAAGAAAAACAGGTGTACCTAATTAAAACATACTTAGTGACTTGGGAGAAACCAATAGATGTTTACAATTGATGGAGAACCATGAAAGAGAGATACCAGTAAACAAAAACAATAACACAATTTTCCTGCAACTGTCCAGGATTTCCCAAAAAAACACAGAAAGTAGGATGCACCTAAGGAATATAAAACACAGAGGGCAGAAGGAGTAAGAGAGAAATAGGAGGAAGGAAGGAAGCCAGGAGAAAACGCCTGGTGTTACTAAAAAAAAAAAAATTGTTTCTCACTCTGGATAACGCTACAATGTGGATGAACTTTGAAAATATTCTGATAAGTGTAAAGTCAGTCATAAAAGCTTACATACTGTATAATTCTGTTTATAGGAAATGTCCACAACATGCAAATCTATGGAGATAGGTTTGAGCACTCTATGTAGTTGTTACCTAGTGCTGAGCATCGGAGAGAGGGTTTGAGACAGAATGAGGAATGATTAATGCTTACAGGGTTCTCTGCTAGGGGATGATATAATGGTCTAAAATGGATTGTGAATTAAAATTAAATGTGCACAACAACAAGTATACTAAAAGCCACTCAATTCATCACTTTTATTGGGGGAATCTTATGTGGCACACTCTCATTAAGACCACAGGAGACATAGGGAAAAGAGAAAAGGGGTGAGTAAATATCTGAAATGGAGACAGAAACAGAGAGAATGAAAAGCCCTATGAATGGCAGAAAGAAAGAAAAGGGAAAATGACCCTATTTACAAATCACAGACCTGAAAATGGGGGCTCACATCAACAGTGTCACTGCCAGGTAGGAGGGTCATGCTAGCAATGTCACACCAGTAGTGTCACCCACAGGGATGCCGACATGGTAGAGGTTCCTGTCAGCATGGGCACTGGCAGCCACGTCGGCAAGCAGGAAGGTCGTGCTACACAGCTGTGGGGTGACAATAGCCTTTGTGGTGATATGGGCCATTAGAGGAGCCCCTTCTGCTGGCAAGAGTGTGAGAGTAGCAAGTAGATGGACAGGCCTGTGTGTCAGGAAGGAATGCAGGAGGGAATCTTCAGTAGCTGCGTGTGGAGCCCTCATCAGAAAAGTGGAGAAATGGTCATGTAACTGCTTCATGGAGGCTAGTGGATTGGCCAGGGCTTCGAACTGAAGGACAATAATGGGAGTAGCTGATAGGCCTGGGAGTGTCTGAGTATAAGTGGAGATGGGTTTGGGGTCACTGAGGGCTATGTGGGAGCCATCACTGTATAGATACAGGTCATAGGGAAATAGTAGTGTGAGACCTGTGAGTTTTTAGGGTTCTCCTGGGTGCCTGGGGCTGACTGCTGCAGAAATCAGGGGAAGGCTGGAGAGAAGCTGGGAGACAGAGTAGAGTCCTGAAGTTTGGGGGTGAAGAGGTGAAAGAAATGGGGGAGGGTGGCAGTAAGTTCTGTGAGTTTCTAGGTGACTCCTGGGTGTGGGAAGTTGACTCCAGCTGACATCTGGAGATGGTTGGAGAGTAAATGAGAGAGACAGAAGAGTCCTTGAGGGCTGGGGGTGAAAACATGAGTCAGTGATATGGGTGAGATTGGTGGTGTGTCGTGGGTGCCTGGAACTGACTCCAGCTGGAATCTAGAAAAGTATTCAGAGTAGCTGAAAGAGATACTGTGGGCTGAGGGCAAAGACCTGAGGGAGACAAGGGAGGACCCCAGTGAGGTTTGTGAGTCTGTAGGTGATTCCAGAGTGTAGGAGGCTGAGTCCCGCTGAAATCTGGGCTTGCTGGTAGAGTAGCTGGGACAGACAGGAGAGTCCCAGGGGGCTGGGGGTAAAGACATGAGAGAGACTGGGAAGAAATTGAATGAAATAGGTGAGTTTGGTGGTGATTTTGGGGTGCCTGGAACTGACTCCAGCTGAAATCTGGGCGTGGGTGGAGAGTAGCTGGGACAGAAGGGACAGTCCCTGAGGGATGGTGAAGACATGAGAGAAACTGGGGAGTAACGCAGTGAAATTGGTGAGTTTGGTGGTGATTTCTCGGTGCCTGCAATGAACTCCTGCTGAAATGTAGGCGAAGTTGGAAAGTAGCTGGGACAGACAGGAGATTTCCTGAGGTTTGGAGATAAACACGTGGTAGGGACTGGGGAGTAACACAGTGAAAGTGGGGAGCTTGGTGGTGATCCCTGGGATCCTGGAAATGACTGGGGCTGAAATGTGGGCGTGGTTGGAGAGTAGCTGGGACAGACAGGAGGGTTCGTAAGGGCTGGTGGTGAAGACGTGAGAGAGACTGGCGAGGATCTCACTGAGGTCTCTGACTTTCTAGGTGTTTCTGGGGTGTGGGAGACATAAAACCACTGAAAACTGGACATAGTTGGACAGTAGCTGGGACAGAAAGGAGAGTCGTTGATGGGTGGGGGTGAGCTGCTGGATGATGGCAGTAAGAACATATGGTATATAATTGATGAACGAGGTGACTGTGAAGAATCTCCAGAGGAGGACACGGGAGAACACAATGACATGAGTGATTGTAGTGATTGGTTATGAAAGGGAAAAGTAAAGTTGTGAAATTCTGTCGATGAGGGAGGTGAGAGTGGTGAAGCCCTGTGAGATGATGTAGAGTACTTCCACATCCCTGGTGAGGAGCTGCCCCTTGGGTATGAGTTTCTGGGAGGGGAGAGGGAGAAGCTGGCTGAGGCAGGCATGAATCTTGAGGAGTCAGGGCTGGTGGACCGCTCATATTCTCCCGAGACTGTGGGTCTCTGTGGGACTCCTGGGTGCATGGGGCTGACTCCCGCAGGAACCTGGGGATGGCTGGAGAGTAACTGGGAGCCACAGGAGAGTCCCTGAGGCCTGGGGGTGAAGAGATGAAAGACATAGGGGAGGAGCACCGTGAGGCTCATGAGTTTGTAGGTGATCCTGGATGTGGGAGGCTGACTCCAGCTGAAATCTGGGGTTGTTTGGAGAGTAGCTGGGAGACAGAGGAGACTCCCCCAGAGCTGGGGGAGAGTTGCTGGGTGATGGCAGTAAGAACATGTGGTACATAATTGATGAACGCGGTGACTCTGAAGAATAATCAGAGGATGACATGGGAGAGCCCAATGGCTTCATTGATTGCCCATCGCGGTGAGGACAGGGAAATGGGAGCTTGTGGGATTCTGGGGATGACAGAGTTGAGTGTGGAGAAGCCCTAGGGGATGGTGAATGGTAGCTCCGGATCCCTGGTGAGGAGCTTCCTCTTAAGTCTGAGTTACTGAGAGGGGAGAGGGAGAAGCTGGGTGAGGCTAGCATCATCGAACTTGGGGAATCCGGGCTGAGGGACTGTTCACAAGAAGAGCCAGACAAGACCCTACTGTTTTCAGGTGCAGACAGGATTACAAAACCTGAAGCTCCCAGGGACCCCAACAAATTTTCAAACCCTGAGAATGAAGGAGTGTGTGTGAGTGTGAGAGTGTCTGTGTGTGTGTGTGTGTGGTGTGAGGTATGCGCTCCTTAAGAAAATGGAAAAACCAACCAATGAGACAGACAGACAGACTCACTTAATCCAAGTGTTCTGTCCAGTCCTCTGAATCCGACTCCAAGTCGCAAGACCCTGTGAGCTACAAGTCCATGCAGAGCTGGCAAAATGCTCCGGCCGCTGCTCGGCTCTGTGAAGATCTGAGTACAGGCCCGTCAGGGTGGGTTTAAATAGCATCGCGCGCAGCCTAGCAGTGGAAAGGGCGACGCTTCACTCCTCCTTTCCATGAGTCACCCACAACTTAACCAGGAAACACCTCGTAGGAAACTATTCTCCTGATTTGATTTCATGTGCCACCTTTGGGACAACTTAAGAACTTACAAGTTTTCTTGACCAAATATATTATGAATTAAATGCACTGAAACACTGAAAACCAACTAGTGGTTCTGAGGTTGTCACATTGTGCTTTTGACAACGGCAGCATCCTTTCAACCCTCAAAACACGGAGATCCACAGATCTGTGTTGTAACAAGCCCTCCCCCTGACCATGATGCATGGCGGTTTAAGAATAACCCGTGTAAGCGAAAAGACTTTGAAGAGGTGGAGATATGCCTTGTATAAAACATTCTTTTGCTCTGGAACCAGGTAGAGACTTAGGAGCCAATTGGGAGGAACCTTCTTTGGATGAGGGTGCTCGGTTTAGCAATATCAAGGTGTGACTCCAGATAATTCAATCATCTAATTAAGATTCCAGTTACGCTAATCTGTTTTAAAATTCCGTTTGTGCAAATTCTTTTACAAAGCCTCAACCCCAATTCCCAGGGAGGGTTCAGAGCCTCAGGTTGAGTTGATGACCAACAGCCTATAGTTTAACCCATCATGCCTCTAGAGTGAGGTCTCCAAAAAAATCCAAAAGGAATGGCTGTAGAGAGCTTCTGGATAACACTAACTGGAAGGTAGAGTGCCACTCCAAACAAGACGGGACCAAAAATTTTTCTAAATTTTTTGCAATATCTGCAACAATAAAATGGTAAATGTAATGGCCTCCCTGCGTGTTGTGAGCTCTTCCAGCAAATGGATGCAACTATAACAGGGAGTGGTGGAAACCTGATTTATAACCAGCTGCTGAGAAAAGCAGCTAAAACAACGTAGGGCTTTCCATTGTTATTAATGGGAGGACAGTCTTGCAGGACTCGGCCCTTTGGAATCTAATGTTATGTCCCGGTAGATAGCGTCACCATTGAATTCAAAGACACACATATGTTGGGAATAATTTTTCTGGTCATTTGCTGCATGTCTTATTTACAATATGTAATCAAATTCTTTACCCTGACTTTATGGCACCTGGGTTAAGAACCATGATTTGAAGGAAAAATTGGTCTGTCATTTTCTGAGTTTGAAAAATTGTTTTCCCGCTAGCGGTTTGCTATTGCTTTCTGGTTTTCTTTTGTTTCGTTCTGTTTCTAAGTTCTGGGGTATATGGACAGGATGTGCATATTTGTTACTAAGGTAAACGAGTGCCATGGTGGTTTGCTGCACCTGTCAACCCATAACCTAGGTATTAAGCCCAGCATGCAACAGCTGTTTTTCTTAACGCTCTGTCTCCCGAAAAGCCCCAGTGTGTGTTGTTCCCCTTCCTGCGTCCATGTGATCCCATTTTTCAGCTCCCAATACAAGTGAGAATGTGGCGTTTTGTACTCTTTTCCTGGATTAGATTTAAAGTGGACTCATTCCAATTACAGGGCCTCGAAAGAGTCCTGTATTGTTATTTTTCGTCACTACCTCCCCGGGTCGGGAGTGGGTAATTTGCGCGCCTGCTGCCTTCCTTGGATGTGGTAGCCGTTTCTCAGGCTCCCTCTCCGGAATCGAACCCTGATTCCCCGTCACCCGTGGTCACCATGGTAGGCACGGCGACTACCATCGAAAGTTGATAGGGCAGACGTTCGAATGGGTCGTCGCCGCCACGGGGGGCGTGCGATCAGCCCGAGGTTATCTAGAGTCACCAAAGCCGCCGGCGCCCGCCCCCCGGCCGGGGCCGGAGAGGGGCTGACCGGGTTGGTTTTGATCTGATAAATGCACGCATCCCCCCCGCGAAGGGGGTCAGCGCCCGTCGGCATGTATTAGCTCTAGAATTACCACAGTTATCCAAGTAGGAGAGGAGCGAGCGACCAAAGGAACCATAACTGATTTAATGAGCCATTCGCAGTTTCACTGTACCGGCCGTGCGTACTTAGACATGCATGGCTTAATCTTTGAGACAAGCATATGCTACTGGCAGGATCAACCAGGTAGGTAGGTAGAGCGCGGCGAGGCCCCGACGCGGCCGGACGGCCGGCCGGGGGGCCTCGCGAGGACGGGCCCGGCGCCCCGCAAGCGAGGAGGACGACGGACGGACGGACGGACGGGCCGCGGACGGGCGGACGGGAGGGAGCGAGCGGGCGCGGGGGCGGCGGCCGGGACCGGTGGGGCCGGGGCGGGGCGCGGCGAACCGGACGCCCCAACCACCCGCCCCCCACGCGACACGACCACCGGGGCCCCGCGCCACAGACCCGCGACGCTTCTTCGTCGCGCCCGCCCGCGAGGAGGCGGACGGCCCGACCCGCGCCCGGCGGCCGGGAGGGACCGGCGGCCACGCGCGCGCGCGCGCGGCCGGCGCCCGCGGGCGGCGGCGAGGCGGGGACGGCGCTCCGCCCGCCCCGCGGGGCGGCCCCGACGTCCGGGCGGCGAGCGAGAGGCGGACCGCGGTGCCCGGCCCGGGGACAGTCGCGCCGTGCGGCCGCAGCGCCCGCGCACCGGTCCCGGTCGAGGGCCCGGGGCCCGGCCGAAGCCCGGCTCCGAGCCCCGCCGGCGGGCGCGGGCGCAGGGGTGGCACACGCCACACGACGGCCAAGGGAGGGCCGACCGAGGCCGGCCGGCGCGCCCGCCCCCGCCCGGGACGGGGGACCGCGACCGGGGCCGAGGCCCCGGCCCGGGCCCCACCCCCCGACCCGGGGAAAGGGCGAGCGACCGGCAAGGCGGAGGTCGACCCACGCCACACGTCGCACGAACGCCTGTCCGGGAGGGACCACCGGGCCGCGCTCGGGCGCACGCGCGCGCCGAACGGGGCGACGCCACGCGGGGAGGACGGGCTCTCCCCGACGCCGACGCCCGGGACGGACGCCTCGGGGAAGGGCCGCGGCAGGCCCGGGAAGCGAGGCGCACCCGGGGGACGCGCCGACCCGGTTCGGAAGAGCGGGCCGGGAGAAGACGAGAGACCACGGGCGAGGCCGGGGCGACGGGGAAGGCGCGAGAAAGGCGGCCGGCGGGGAAGGGGACGCCACGGGGACCCCTCGAGCGCGGCCGACCGCAGCCGGGACACACGCGCGGGGCCTCACCGCCGCCGGCGGCACCGCGCGGCACCCGGGGCGGCCGACCGGCCCTCGGCGATCCCCGCGGCTCCCCCCACCACCGCCGCCGCAGTCGCGGCCGGTCCCCCGGAACCGTCTCCTCCCCCGCACGCGCCGCAGGCCGACCCCCGGAACCCTCCGGGAAGCCCACCGGGCCCCACGCGGGGCGCCACCAACCCGGTCCCCAAGGCGCGCGCCGGGGGACGCGGACGCCGGGCCGATCAGTGGCCGGCGGCGGCGCCCCACGAGGCGGTGCCGGGTTCGGTCCCAGGCGGGGCCACCAACGGACGTGAAGCCGGTGAGCCGCTCGGGGGGAAGAAGAGGATCGGCGGGCGGCGGGCGGGGAAGAGGGCACAGACGGGCGAGGGCCGGGGACCGTGAGGGCAAGGGCACCCGGGAGCCCGCAGAGGCGGCGGCTCGGGGAGAAACCTCAGGCACGGCCGGGCCACCAGGAAAACACGGCCGCGGGATC